>NC_000020.11:2036031-2187547 GCF_000001405.40 Homo sapiens
TGTGGCTGGGCATCAGCATAGAATCAAGCCCAAGGAGATGCTCAGGTGAGTGGCTATATAAATGCTTAAGTGTTCAGAATGGGAAAATGTGTTAAAAGACACACATGGTTTGAGAAGTGTCTTGCCACATTCTCACGGCGAAGTAATGTTAGAGGGTCATAGAGCTGGCCTGATCTAGAATCCAGGTCTGCCTGACATCAAAGCTCCCAATCTTTCAATGACATCCTGTTGCCTTCATTGATTTATCTCTAAATCTCTACAAATTCTGAAGTATAATAGGTGTCCACTCCATATTGATGGAGAGGATGGAAGGATAAGTAGATGGTGTTTGGTGAAGAGAGAGATTGACTGATGGTGAATGAGTAGTAGGTAAGTGGGTGGATAGGTGGATAGTAGATGAATGGATGGACAGTGGATAGATGCGTAAGGAATGGTCGGTGGATAGGTGGATAGTAGATGAATGGATGGACAGTGGATAGATGCATAAGGAATGGTGGGTGGATAGGTGGATAGTAGATGAATGGATGGACAGTGGATAGATGCGTAAGGAATGGTGGGTGGATAGGTGGATAGTAGATGAATGGATGGACAGTGGATAGATGATGCGTAAGGAATGGTGGGTGGATAGGTGGATAGTAGATGAATGGATGGACAGTGAATAGATGCATAAGGAATGGTGGGTGGATGAATTGTAGGTGGATGGCTAGTTGAGAGATGAGTGGATGGTGGGGACATGGGTGGATGGTGGGTAGATGGTCAAAGGCACAAAATTGGATGGACAGTAGACCAGAGTAAAGTGGGAATAAAGAAGCAGCCACATATAGTCAGGTACTTAAGAGCCCAGTTATCTCTTGTTAAAATAACAGCTACTTAATGCTATTCAATAAGTACTATAATTCAATAAGTGCTTATGTGCCAGAGCCTGTGCTAAGCTCTTTACAGAGATCACCTCCTCCAATCCTCAGAAAAATCCCAAGGTCGTTATTATTATACCCATAAGGGAACTGGAGCTTAAGGAGGCAAGTCTCCAAGTTGCTTGGCAAGTAGTAGGCAGATTCAGTGCTCAGACTCAAACTGCTCAAAACTCCAGATTGCTCTTAACGTTTGTGCCAAATAGCAGTGACTGACCTTCTTCTTCCCAGCAGAAGTTCATAATACAAATCAGGAATCAGGAAATATTTCCCAGGGAAGGAGACACCTGAGCCGAGTCTTAAACACCAACAGAAGAAAGGGCTTTCAAGGCAGAAAGAACAGAGAGCCTGGCACCAAGACATGTAAGAATGGGGCCAAAATGAAGACAAGGCTGGACAGGTAGGCTGGGAGCAAATCATGGAGGCCCTTGGGTGCCACATATAGAACAATTAATAACAATATTGTGAGTCGAGAATGCTGCCAAGTCCGTTTACTTGTATTATCTCATCTAATTCTCTCAACTATCTGAGAATAACTGCTACTATGAACCCATTTTGCAGCTGAGGACACTGATCCTCCAAAAGATTCTGTACCTTGCTGAATGTCACACAGCTAGTAAGTGGCAAAGCCACGACATGAGCCCAGGTCTCTCTGACTCCATACTCCATGCTCTTAACCACCAAGCTGTACTGCCCTATGTCAGCTTGAACTTTATCCATTCCACAAGGGTTTGGATTCATTCTGTCTAGTGGGAAGCCATCAAAATCTTTGAATCAGCAATAATCTGATAAAGTGTGTGCTATTAGAAGTATCCTCTCCGATGACTCTGGAAGTTGGACAGAGGAAGACAAGGCTGGTGTCTTTTGTAAGCCCCCCTTTGACTGGCCTCTTCTGCAAGCCTGCCTTTGCCCAGATAGCCTGCATCCCTCCTTCCAGACCCTGGAGCCCATTCACTAAATGGGAGGCCAAGATCTGCTGTGTGATCTTAAGCAGGACCTGACCCTCGCTGGGCCTCAGCTTTCTTAGGTGAAATAAGAAGAGACTGGGCTCACACATCCTTAAGAATCTCTCCAGCTCTGACATTATAGCTTCCCTCTGATGTTCTCTGGGACTGTGCAGCTAAATGTACCACTTTTAGCCACTTAGCCTCAGGAAAGTTGACATCTGCATTTTTTTCTCACTACCATGAATTTTCGATGGCTCTTCCTCCCAATATAAAAGAGTTATTTTTGGCTACTGTTCAATATAAAGCTTTTGTTCTCCCAGCCCTCAGATGTCATCATCAGCTTGTCTCTGCAGAATCCTCTTCAAGACACCTTTGCCTTCCAGAGCCACAGCTCCAAGGGGGAAGCTATTTGCAAGCCCCTGACAGTGTGTAATCACTGATTGCGTGTAGCTGAGGAGTTGTCAACAAGTAGCATGATGCCGGGGGTTGGCTCTTGAAATGCCAGTAGAGGTGTCAACTGCCACTTGCTGGAGACACTGGAGAAGGTTTGCATTCCATTTAAATGTGGCCCAAGAACTAAACTGGGGAGAGGGGAGACTAACTGTAAACAAAATGGGGAACATGACCTCCGGCCCTGCCCTGAAAAGTATTCAGGTTGGACTGGTCCTGCCAGTGCTGATGGAAGGGCAGGCACTATTGTGAGCAGTGGGCAATATAGTGTGGTATTTGTAGGTGTGGATGTTAAAGCCAGACTGCCTGGGTTCAAAGCCCAGCTCCAATCCTTACGGGAGCTGCAACCTTGGGCAAATTATTTAACATCTCAGTGCTTCAGTTTCCCCATCTGGAAAATGGGGATATTGTGGGTTTAAGTGAGGCGTTGTGTGTGACATCATTAGAACAGTACCAAGCACATAGTAAATGCTCAATAAGATATTGGCTGCTATTATTATTAGGACTCTAGGGGCAGTGAGAGGCCCCACTGACCTGAAGAAGTAAGCATGCCATAAGGTAGTAGTCCAAATTGTGGTCCACAGGTTCACCAGGGAACTTACTAGAAATGCAAATTCTCACACCCCATCCAGCCCCACTGAATTAGAATCTCTGGTGGTGGGAGCCATAAATCTGGATTTTAATGAGCCCTCTGGGTGATGTGATGCCAGAGGCATCCCTCCATCCCTCCTAAACCACTCCTCATGGGCCACTTCCCTCAGAGGGAGAAAGACGGCAGCACTGGCTGTGGGACATACAATGGATCTTTTTCTTTACCTGTGCCTCACTTTTTCCGCTGTAAAATGAGGTAAAAATACAGGGCTGTTGTTAGGAGTCAATGAAATAAGGGATAGGACAAGCTGAATATCCCATCCCATCTCTGTTTTATCTTCTCAGAAGACCTTAGGAAAATGTCCCTAGAATGAGAGGCAGGCCCCAGCAGACTCAACAACCGGCCCAGCCATCTGTAAACGTGGGGGCAGGGGGCTTCAGACTTGGTGACCAAGGGAGGGAAAACGGGTAGGGATCACCAGGACTTAAATCTTGGCTTTGGCAGAGCAACAGAGGCAATTTACTTCACCCCCCTGAGACTTTCTGTAAAATGAAAACAATCATAGTTCCATTCAGGGTTGTTAAGACAACTAAATGAAATCTCTTGCCCAAGAGAACCTTATTAAGCACCTACCCGTGCAGGCTGTGTTCTGGCCCTGAAGGTACAGTAGTGAATAAGACATGCTACCTGCCATGGCAGAGCTGACGCTCTAATGAGGCAGACACATATTCAATACCTCATTATAAAATTAATTATCTTGTTACAATTGTGATAGATACATGGTGACCTAACAGGGACCCACCTAAACTGGGAGGTTAAGGAAGGGTGAAGGCATGACGGTCAAGAGCAAGAATTCAGTGGGCAGAGTTGGAAGGTCAGGGGTGATATTCAGTTAGAAGCAATAGCACATATGAAAGATGGGAATGAGCATCAGCAATTGCAGGACTTTTTTTTTTTTTTTTTTGAGACAGAGTCATGCTCTGTCATGCTCTGTCGCCCAGGCTGGAGTGCAGTGCTCCAGCCTGGATCACTGCAACCTCTGTCGCCCAGGTTCAAGTGATCCTTGTACCTCAGCCACCCAAGTAGCTGGAATTACAGGCGTACACCGCCATGTCCGGCTAATATTTATATTTTTAGGAGAGACAGGGTTTTGCCATGTTGGCCAGCTGGTCTCGAACTCCAGACCTCAAGTGATTTGCCTGCCTCGGCCTCCTAAAATGTTGGGATTACAAGCATGAGCCACTGCACCCAGCTGACAATTGCCAAATCTTCAAGGCCACCTTGAGAATTTTGAGCAATAAGAAGCAATCAGAGGATTTTCAATAGGGGAGTGGCATGACTAAATTTGAATTGTTAAAAAAACATTCCTGGGATGGGTGCAGTGGCTCAATGTCTGTAATCCCAGAACTTTGGGAGGCCAAGGTGGGTGGATCACCTGAGGTCAGGAGATCGAGACAAGCCTGGCCAACATGGCAAAACCCCGTCTCTACTAAAAATACAAAAATTGGCCAGGTGTGGTGGTGAGAGCCTGTAGTCCCAGCTACTTGGGAGGCTGAGGCAGGAGAATCACTTGAACCCGGGAGGCAGAGGTTGCAGTGAGCCAAGATCATGCCACTGCACTCCGGTCTGGGTGACAGAGCAAGACTCTGTCTCAAAAAAAAAAAAATTCCTATTTTTAAAAAGAATCAACCATATAAAGGGTTGGTGATGTTATGGAGCAACTGAAACTCTCATATGCTGCTGGTGGAAACACAAAATGGCACAGCTACTTTGAGGAATAGTTTGGCAGTTTTGTATGAAGTTAGAAATACCCTGAAACCAGCAATCCCACTTCTAAGTATTTACTCAACTGAAATTAAATGTATGTTCATGTAACTGAGTACCCTCATTTTTCTAAGAGATAATTTAATAATTTTTTCTCTGTCTCTTCTTTTCTCCTTTTCCCTACTTCCTACTTAGCCCTTTAGAAATGAAAATATAGCTTTCCTTCCCCTTCACCAGACACTCCCTACAAGGCAAGTTCACCTGCAACTATGTGCTTAGGCACTCCAGAAAGGAACTCTCACCCGCTAGGAGGTTACCTCGAGAGGTAACAGTCAATTACAACCCAAAGTATGCCTGCCCACAAAAACATCAGCAGTCACCAGCTTGACAGCCTGGTAGATAAGGCACTAAGCTAACACGAAGACCCCCTACCCGCTCATTTCCCCCTACCCCTCCTCATGCTGTTCATGTTAGGTCCCCTTTAAAAGTGCTCACCTTCTGCTCTAAAAGTAAGTGGTACCCTTAAAGCAGGAAGCCCGTATTTCTTCCCCTAAGCTAGCTTTGGAATAAAAAATCACTTTATACGAGACCTCACTGTTAACTGGACTCTGCAAGTGGCAAGCAACTGAACCAGCATTTCAGCTCCATTCACACACAAGCACAAACTGGAGGTAAATGTTTGTATTAAATAGCAGCTTTACAGAAAATCACCAGAAACCTGGAAACAATTCAGATGTCCATTGACTGGTGAAGGGATAAACAAACTATGTACATCTATTCAATGAAATACTACTATTGAGCCACAAAAAGGAACAAACTACTGATACACACAACAACACAGATGAATCACGTAAGAATTATGCTGCATGAAAGAAGCCAGACTCAAAAGAATCCTACTATGTTACTTTATTTATATGGTATCTTTTAAAAGCCAAAACTGTATGGATAGGAAACAGAGCAATGCTTGCAAGGGCCTGGGGGTAGAGGAAGGAGTTGCCTGCAAGGAGCCTCAGGGGAACTTCTCTGGGTGACAGAACTGTACTGTTTATTTTTTAATTTTTAAATTTTAATTTTTAAAATCTTGGAATTGTTCTAAATTTTGATTGTGGTGGTGGTTATGTGACTGCATGTGCTTGTCAAAATTCACAAAACTATACCTCAAAAAAGGTGAATTTTACGCTATATGAATTGCACTTGTTAAAAAGACAACAACTTTGCTTCAGAGAGGAGAACTGATTTGGTTGGAGACCAATTAGAAGACATTTGCAGATAAGAGATGAGATGACGTGTCTGTACTAGGCTGTGGCAGTGAGGATAGAGAAGTAGGCAGATCCAAGAGCTATTTAGGAGGTAAACATAATACACAAAATACCATGCAGCATAAGGCTGGCACCTAGTAGGCTCACTCTCAGTTGCTTTCTCTGTCAGTTATATGAGCCATTTGTATCACAGACAACTTCCCAATAGGTATCTGCAACTTCTGCCAATCAAAGCATGCTGTGGCCTTGTAGTTTCAGAAGGGGAAGGAGACAGGGACAATAGTCAGGCAAGTGGGCAGAGGAAACACTGGAGACCCAGTAGAACAGAAATTCATAGGACTGCAGGGCAGACTGGTATTAAGGCACACCTGAGGTATGAACAGGATCTCAGGTGATGGCTGCAGAGAGTCAACCAGCCCCCATCCATGAATAAGGATACCAAGGTAAAGGTGGCAAGTGACTCTGGCAGGCTTGTAGGAGGTTGCCATGACCTCTCCCTGAATCTGCTCGAATTTTCCTTCTCATCTGAGGCTTTGAGCCCCGACTTTAGGACCTCAGAAGAGAGCCATGAATCGTGGGTTAAATTTCAGGACTAATTATTTCCTCAGGTGACGTCACCCTCAAATCTTGGAGCCAGAGATTGAATTCTGTGCAGTGAGACCTGGAATGGGAGTCATTAGACCTGAGTCATCATCCTGGTTCTGACTCTGAGACTATGGGTGGCTTATTTTCACTTTCTAGGCTTTGACTTCTTCATTTGAAAAACGAACAAGTTGATCTCTAAGGATTCATCCGGCTTTAAAAATAAGGGTATTCTACTTGAAGGATGTTTATTTTAGCCATCCTAATCCTGCAACATATGTAAATTTTAAAAGTTTACTGAAAGGAATAGAGCAGGATAAAATAAATAGATTAGGAAATTGAGATGAAGAGAAAGTAAGAGGAGGCCAAGGGTTAGAATATAGACTTATCATTTGCTAGAGATGTACCTTATCCTTAACCTGAAGATGAAATTTATGTCCAAGCTTTCTAGCAGCCAAAGCAAAGAGATGACCAAAGAGATGTTAGGGCTGTTCAACAGAAATTTCTTCAATGGAGGAAATGTCCTGCAGCTGCAATGTTCTACTCTAGCAACCACTACCCACATGTGGCTATTGAGCACTTGAAATGTGGCTGGCATGACTGAGGACTGGAATTTTACATACTTACTTAATTTTAATTAATGTAAATTGGAGTAGCCACATGTGGTTATACTGGACATGCAGTGTTAGATAATTTACAATGTTTGTTCCATGTGCCAATTACAAACGTACTGCTTCTCAGCTCCAAAGTCTCCCTTTATTGCCTGGTCTGCAATAATAGAGTTGGGCCTTGTGAAGATTCTTCCTTTGCCAGGCAGCACAATGTTAAGCTTTGACATGAGGGGACACAGAAGAGACACTGAAGGAGAAAGGTGTTTCTCTTCCTTTTCCCAGTGCACTTCTCTCCACAGGCTTTTATGGTTTATGCATCACCTGGTTCTGGAAGTGCAGGCTGCTTTTGCAGGTTCTAGCTCCAGTAGCACATGTGGCTTCTCCAGTGTCTGGCTTCTGCAGTGCATGTGGCTTCTGCAGCACCTGGGTCCAGTCTTGGCTTCAACTTCCAACTCCTAAAAGGCAGGCACCAGTCCCTACAGGGTGCAGCAGCCAGCAGTACCCAAATGCAAACAGGTTTCCCCAGAAACTCCTTAGGTGACTTCAGAGTGGAATGCCACAGATGAGGTACCTCCCTGTGAACTGCCTCTGGTGGCTCCCCTTTGGGCAGATTTCCAGCAAGTTTCAAGGCACAGCATCTCTGCATGGATGGTCCTCATTGGGATGCAGGAGGGAAGATTTCAGCAAGTCCCGCTGGGGCAGTAGCTTGGACACTGCTCCACTAGTCAGTGAGCCACAGCCATGCCTTCTCCAACAAGGTCTGGATCACAGTGTGGAGCTCGGGGATCGTCCTCGAGCACTCCATCTCAGTCCTAAGAGTAGTGGGTACTCCTCATACCTGCTATTCCTGCATTCTTTACAGTTCTTCACTTCTTACCAGCCAATCCCTTATTATGCCAATTCTCTCCTATAGTTAACCGTGTTCATATTAAACTTTCTCTGTTCAAATTACTGTACAGTTTTTATCCCCTGACTAGACTCTGGCTGACATAGGAGTCGTCTCAGGAAATAGATCTGTAAAGATGGGACTTGGGCATTGGTTTGGTCATGCCCTTGGGCTTGAGCACAGTAATGAGCTTCTTACCAATGGGAAATGGGATGCTAGCAATTCATTGCATGCAGTGCCAATTAAACAAGCTACAACCAACCGAAGCAAGTGTCCAGGGAGCCCAGGAGGATGCTCCACTTGATTGTTACAGCAGTAATGATGACTGTAATGACTGCAGTGTGGAATATATTCTTTTGAGTGGACTTGAATGCTTATAGGGAGAAAATGCCAAACTCAGCTCAAATCATGACCTGAAAACCAGAGAGGTTAAATGAATATTTTATTTCTTATAGATACAAGGCTGATGTTGCTGAAAAAGATAACAAAAATTTAATTGTGTAGATTGCCGAATTATAGTGTCAGTCAGATTCACAAGCTTACTAAGTTGCTCAAATGAAAGTTGATTGGAAAAAAATGGAATCATAAAACTGGAAACAGGGACATCTGGTTGGACCTAGATGAAGTTGATAATCTTGAATCCCAAAATCACTGTGAGCTTCTCTTACCAGTGGAAGTAGCTTGCCCTCTGGTGTATTAGGACACTAGCATTTCTTTGCTTGATAGCCCTGTGACAACCTCATCTGAGGCAAATACCTTGAAAAGGTATGGTCATTCTTTTCCAAACCCACCACGACCACCTTTTGTTGCCACTAGACCTATAACTAGGGTCAAATAACAGTATGCTCCAGGGAGACAGGTACACATTATGACCTTGGAGAAAATAGCTTAAACACCAAAAGAATTGCAAAAATTTGCTAATGTATATCAGCATTAACCTGGGTAACATGTGTGAGTATGGAATTGAAAGGTGTTAGACCAAGTAGGGTAGATTATAACACTATAGTGAGCAAATTCACTGATGTAAGTGAACTTACTAGTGACTGGATTTGGGGGAGAGCGTGAGAATGTCATACTTTTAAGGAGGATAGCTCTAACTTGTATGGACCTCATGTTACTGGAAGCGTCTCTAACTGCTTTCTTGGTTGTTGACTAAAACTTGGGCTCAATGGTGACTTACACTGAATGATATTGAGATGCCAGAACTTCCCTAAAATTACACAGAGGAGGAAATTCAAAGGCTTAGGGAGACCAGAAGTTTTGCCTGGATGTATCACATGCAATCTGCCCACTCACCTGCCAACTGTCTTCATAAGAAAGCCCAGCAGACACTCACTTGACTAAGGCAATGAGAAATACTAGCTTTGATTATTTCCCAGGTGGAAATACTTCAATCAGAGAATGCAAAAATGATTCCATTGAATTGGAAGGTGAGGCTGTCACTTGGCCATTTTGGGACTCTTTATGCCACTGAATCAATAAGCAGAAAAGGGCGTTATTCTGTGGGTTGGAATGATTGATCCTGATTAACAAGAGAAAACTGGATTGCGGCTGCCACAAAGTGGGGACAAGAAGATCTATGCCTGGAATGCAGTGGATTCTATGGATCGCCTCTTAGTGTGTCCATGCCCAATAATAAACATTAAGATAAAACTATAGCAACCCGAAAAAAGGCAGAATAATTGAGGACTCAGGCCATTTGAGAAGGAAGGTTTGGATTGCCCCATCAAATAAGGAACCCCAACTAACTGAGGCTCTGTTGGAGAGCAAAGGAAACACAAATTGGGTAGTAGAGGCTAGGCGTGGTGATTCACACCTGTAATCCCAGCATTTTAGGAGGCTGAGATGGGTGGATCGCTTGAGCTCAGGAGTTTGAGACCAGTCTGGGCAACATAGTGAGGCCCAATCTCTACAAAAAAATTAAAAATTAGCCAGGTAGAGTGGCATGTGCTTGTAGTCCTAGCTACTCGGGTTGCTGAGGTGGAAGATCGCTTGAGTCTGGGAGGTCAAGGCTGCGGTAGCTGTGACTGCACCACTGTGCACTCCAGCCTGGGAAACAGAGCAAGACCTTGTCTGAGGGGTGGGTAACGGAAGAAGGAAGCCATGGATATCAGCTATGACCTCATGACCTATTACAGAATCAAGGCCTGTAGCAGCTCTGCAAATGCTCTCTTTGCTTGTTAGAAGAATGTGCTAACTACTTTATTCTTTTTCTTCTTATTTTTGTTTTATATTATACAAGTTTTTGAAGCTTAATTTTATAATTTAGCCTTTAGATAACAGAATATTCGGTGGTACTATAACAGATTGAAAGACAATTAATATATCCAGCAATGGATATAATGACTGTCAGGATGGTGCAGTGCCTCATTTTGGGGAGAAGGTGAGAACTGCTTACTAATGTAAGGAGGATAGTTATATCTTGTTAGATGGGAAGAGGAATTGTTTTATTATATGGGACTCTAAATGTGTGTAGAGGGTGCACATGTAAGCCGAGTAGCTGTGGTGACACATGCTAAGGTGATCCCCAATAAGTAAGGGCTTTGTATATCATCACTTCCCCCTTAAATGTAGGGAAACCTGTGACTTACTTCTAGCCAATAGAATACAGCAAAGGTGATAAGATAGTAACTCCCATGATTATATTATGCGATATAAGTCTCCATTTTCGCAGATTTAAGCCAGAGGGTCCTGTGCTGGCTTTTAAGAAGCTGCCATGTCGTGGGCGGAGGGCTATGAGAAGACCTGTGACAGGGCCACGTGGCAAGGTACTATGAGTGACCTCTAGGACCTGAGAGTGACCCGCAGTTGACAACCAGCAAGAAAATGGGGACCTCAGATCTACAATCACAGGGAACTGAATTATGCTCCCAACTACATGAGCTTGGAAAGGGATTCCAAGCTCCAGAAAGGACCACAACCTAGAAGACACCTGGACTGCAACCTGATGAGAGCCTGAGCAAGAAACCCAGCTAAGCCAAGCCCAGACTCCCAACCCATGAAAACTAGGGTCATACGTGTACGTTTGGTTTTTTGTTTTGGTTTGGCTTGGATTTTTTTGTTTGTTTTTAAGTGTACAATTCAGTGGTTTTTAGTATATTCACAATGATGTGCAACTGTCACTACTATTTAATCCCAGAATATTTCCATCATTTCCCACCAAATAACACCATACCTTTTAATTTTTCCCTGCACTCTTCTCTTGGTAACCACTAATTTACTTTTTGTCGCTATAGATTTGACTATGCTGGACATTTTATATAAATAGAATCATACAATATGTGGGCTGTTGTGGCTGGTTTCCTCCACTTAACATGAGGTTTTCAAGGTTTATCCATGTTGCAGCACATGTTAGCATTTCACTCATTTTAATGGCTGAATAATAGGCCTTTATGAGCATGCCACATTTTGTTTATTCATTCATCAGTTGATGAACATTTAGGTTGCTTCCACTTTTTGATGGAACATTCAATCATTTGACCAGTCATCTACAAATTTTTGTGTGGATACATGTTTTTAATTCTCTTGGGTATATACCCAGGAGTATAATTGCTAGATCACATGGCAACTCTCTGTTTAACATTTTGAGGAATTGCCAGATAGTTTTCCAAACTGGCTGCATCATTTTACATTTCCACCAACAATATGTGAGGGTTCCAATTTCTCCACATGCTCAACACTTGTCATCCGTCTTTTTTATTACAACCACCCTAGTGAATGTAAAGTGATATCTCATTATAATTTTGAAATTTGAAAATCTCCCTAATGTCTAATGATGTTTAGCAACCGACTTTGCCCATTTTTAAATTGTTTCTTTATTGTTGAGTGGTAAAAGTTTTTTGTTTGTTTGTTGTTGTTGTTTGTTTGTTTTTGTTTTTGTTTTTGAGACAGAGTTTCACTCTTGTTATCCAGGCTGGAGTGCAATGTCATGATCTCGGCTCCCTGCAACCTTCGCCTCCTAGATTCAAGCAATTCTCCTGCCTCAGCTTCCCAAGTAGCTGGGATTACAGGCACATGCCACCATGCCTGGCTAATTTTGTATTTTTAGTAAAGATAGGGTTTTACTATGTTGGTCAGGCTGGTCTTGAACTCCTGACCTCAGGTGATCCACCCACCTCGGCCTCCCAAACTGCTGGGACTACAGGTGTGAGCCACTGCGCCTGGCCAAGAGTTATTTCTATATTCTGATACCAGGCTTTTATCAATTACATGATTTGTAAATATGTTCCCTCATTCTGTTGGTTGTCATTTCACTTTCTTAATAGTATCCTTGGCCGCACAACAGTTTTTAATTTTGATAAAGTTCAACGTATCCCTTTTTAATTTTGCATCCTGTGCTCTTGATATCACATTTGAGAAACCATTGTCTAATTCAAGATCACAAAGAGGTATGCCTGTGTTTCCTTCTAACAGTTGTATAGTTTGAGCTCTCATATTTAGGTCTTTCATACATTTTGAGTTAATTTTTGTATATAGTGTGAAGTGAGAATCCAAAGTAATTTTTTTGCCTGTGGATAGCTAGTTGTTCCAGCACCATTTGTTGAAAAGACTGTTATTCTTTTCTCATTGAGTGGTTTTGGCATCATGTCAAAAAATTGATTCACTATAGATGTATGGGCTTATTTCTGGAGTCTCAATTCTATTCCATCAATATATATGTCTATCCTTATGCCAATACCCCACTGTTCTGATTACTGGTAGCTTTGTAGTAATGTGTTTTGCTTGCAGCCTCCAAGTTTATGGTAAATTGTCACATAGAAAGAAAAGAGTAACCAAAAGGTAGACTCAATCAGTTATCAACATATTGCCTCCAAGCTCTAAACTTACCCTTCATTCTCTCTCTATAATAATGGAGCTGGGCTCTGTAAATATATCTCCTTCTCAAGCTTTGTCAGTAAAGAATGCTGTGGGACACTGGAGGGGGAAGAGATCCTCTTCCTGGCTCCTACGTGCTCCTCCAGGCAGGTTTCTGAAGCACTGCATGCTTTTCCAGCACTGCGTGTGGGTTCACTAGTGCAGCTGCTCCAGTTCAGGTGGCTTCCCCAGTGCTGCTCCCCCATAGCATACACAGCTTATCCAGCACTTGCCTCCTGTGGTGTATGAGGCTCTTGCAGGGCCCAGCACCAGTGGCTCACATGGCTTCTCCAGCACTTGGCCTCAGCAGGGTATGGCTTCTCCAGTGCCCTAGAGCATGCAGTGGCCATCAGCTTTCTCCCGCACCTCTTGGACAAATTTGCAGCAGAGTGCCACTGCCAAGGTACCTCCCTGTGAGTAGCTCCCCAGGCACCCTCTCAGGCAGCTTTGCAGTGAGCACTAAGGCATGGCATCTCTCCATGGGTGGCTTCACCCATATTCCAGAGGACAGATTCCCCAAAGTCCTGGTGGCACTGCAGGTCAGCCACATCTCTGCCACAGCCTTGCCCTCTCCAACAAGGTCTGGATCTCAGCCTATAGGGGAAGTGTAGCTCTTTCTTGGGCACTCTATCTCAGCCCTAAGGGCAGTGCCTCCTCCTTATACTCTATGATTCCTGTATTCTTTAAGTTAAACTTTAAAGTCGGGGGGAGGACAAAAGCACCCTCTCCACCAAAACAAACAAAAAACCAGCTGATCAGGATATCAACTGCCCCTGAGTAGCTGGGAACTAAAGGAACTTCTCCCCCAGGTCCCCAGGAAATAAAGTAGAGAACGTCTTCCAAACCAGCTCCACTTCTGTCACTAGACCCAAGTATGCAGGGTTCTTTTTTGAGACAAGGTCTCCCTTTGTCACCCAGACTAGAGTGCAGTGCAATGGCACCATCATAGTTCACTGCAGCCTCAACCTTTTAGGCTCAAGTGATCCTCCTGCTTCAGCCTTCTGAGTAGCTGGGATTGCAGGCACATGCCACCACACTATTTTTTTTATTTTTTATTTTTTTATAGACAGGGTGTTGCTTTGTTGCCCAGGCTGGTCTCAAACTCCTGGGATCAAGTAATTCTCCTACCTCACCTCCCAAAATGCTGGGATTATAGGCATGAGCCGCTGTGCCCAGCCCACAGGGTCCTTTTTTTTTTTTTTTTTTTTTTTTTTTTTTTGAGATGGAGTTTTGCTCTTTCACCCAGGCTGTAGTGAAGTGGCATGATCTCAGCTCACTGCAACCTCTGACCCCAGGGTTCAAGTGATTCTCCTGCTTCAGCCTCCCAAGTAGCTAGGATTATAGGCACCCGCCACCATACCTGGCTAATTTTTGTATTTTTAGTAGAGACAGGTTTTCACTATGTTGGCCAGGCTGGTCTCAAACTCCTGACCTCAGGTGATCCACCCTCATTGGCCTCCCAAGTGCTAGGATTACAGGTGTGAGCCACTGCGCCCGGCCCCACACAGGGTTCCTGATAACCCAAGTGAGCCACTCTGCCAGAACTGAGCAACCTGGGCCAAATCTCCTGACCTCTCTAAGTCTCATGTCTTAATTTGGGGTCCTTCATACCCTAAGATAAAAATTCAAGTGTAAGTAGTTTATTCAAGAAGTGAAGGGAAAACTGACAGGAGAATAGAGAGGTGACAGACAGAAGGAAAGAGCCATGAGAGGGTGTGTGATTAAGGCAGCTGCCGGTGGGCCGCTGGAGTTCAGTCCCACTGGGGATATCTGGGAGACAGTATAGAACACACACCTCGGGATTACCCCCGAGGGTTAAGGGAGATAGGGTATCAATGCACAAACTCCCATCAGTCAATGTTTGAAAGCTGCTGGTGAAGGGGTTATAAATGCTTCCAGCCTGCTGGGCCAACAGCAAGAGGAAACCCTTGGGCAAAGAAATGCAGGTGCTAGCTCTTAGTGTTCACTGAGTTGGTTGAGGCAAGAAGATATGAGTGAGGACCTGAAAGTGTCTGTGACGCTGCAGTTCCCTCCTCTATAAAATAAGGAAGAGAATTCCTACCTCACAGGGTTGCTGCTGTACTGCTGCACTGCAAATTCCAGGGGTTACTGTTCATATCTTGGAGGCCCTGAGTTGCTGTGAAAACTAAAGGAGGTGGTGTAGAGAGAGCACTATATGTCAATAAGTCCTCAATATGAGTATTCCTTTTTCTTTTTCTTAACAATCGCATCACTTACTCTGTGTCGAACACTGTACTCGGTGTTACCCACACCTGAGATACAGATACTAGCCATCTTTTACAGAAGAGGAAAAGAGGCTCAAGGAGTTTCAGTAACTTTCGCCAGGTCACGGAGCACATCAGAGCCATGTCTATGTGACCGCAGAGCCCTTGCTCTTAGCCTCTGCTATGCACTGAGTGGCCAGGGCTGATTCTAACACACTGCCCAACTGTGCTTAGTTTGGAGGTCAGGTGCCAAATGCCTTGATCAGCATCGTCCCTTGTCAGACATGACCCAGATCAGCTTGGGGAGAAGCTGCAGCCAGGAACTGACATGTCTTCTACTGCTTCTCTGCTTGCTTAATTGGTGTCTCTCCAAGATAGCTCAGGTGGGTGGGAGAAAGTCTTATTTCAAACTGCCTGAGGCTTTGGCCTCTTCTGCCCACATATGCCCCACAGGCATGTTGTAGCACCAGCTTTTGAGGAATTAATTTTGGCATCTTAAGCACCACCCTTGGGGGAGTTAATTTTGAATCTCTGCCTCTAGGTTTGCAAAGACAAGTGGTATGGCAGGGCCCTTTGTTCTGTCAAACTGGTTCAGCTAAGCCCAAAAGAAATGAACATTGTGCCCACTTTTGTCTTTCTGCCTTGGGAGGTCCAAGCTGTCACTGCTAACCTTCCTCTCCAGGGCTCCTAGAGTATCCAAATCTGGGTACCTGTGCAGATGAGATTATTCAGCCTTCATGAAGTGCTTTTATTCTGGGAATAAAAGTATGATGGACATTGTGGCTGACCCCTCAACATCCCTTCCATTCAATCCTACATGTGGAAAGACTGTGGCGTTTGGAATTGCTCCAGTTCCAGAAATAGGTCCTGGTATTTTTGGCTAGCTATTCACCACATCCATTTTCCTTTCCTCTGGAGTTGCAGCTAGACTACATTTCCCAACCTCCCTTTCAGTTAAGTGTGGCCACGTGACTAAGTTCCAGTGGTGTGCTGATGTATAACAACCAGGTCACCAGGGTGAGTGGAGGCTCTGATTGTAGCATTTGGTGATTCCCATATATGGCTGATTCCAAGATACCAATGTGATGTCACTGAAAATGGAGTTAAGGATGGGTGTGTGCTAGCATACTATTACAAAGCATTCCTCCATACAGATACAATGGTATTCATTATTCTAGAGGATTAGTACTACTTGCCAGGCACTGAGTATGTGCTTTTCATGCTGTCACAGCTGAGACAGAGTTTAATGTGCAGGACACTTACTTAAAAAGGCCCTTGGATCAACACTTGATGGCAGAGAGTGACCAAAATAGAATTGGGCAGAAGAAGAAGTCAAGCTACAATGCAGGTCTAATAACAGCACTGGCCAAACCCATGGACAGCTCTGAAGCTAGAATGGGCCTTCAATCTTGTCCCAAATTGGGCCATGATGACCAGGCCCTTATGCTCCTATATCAGTCAGTCTTCGGATACGAGCCACCATGGGAAGATTAAAACCTTGGGCAAGAATACTCTCTGCAGCTGACACCCTCCGATTATCTGGAGCAACGAGTCTTAGAGGAACTCTGGGAAACACAAACATTATTTTATTCAACAACCCTATGAAGAAGAGACTATTGATAATCCCATTTTACAGGCAAGTAAGTAGAAGTTCTGAGTGGTTAAATAATTGCCTTAAGCCACAGGTCTGTGTGATTGGCAAGCTCATGTTCACTTTTATCCCTTATATCCTGTCCTGCTCACCTCCAGCCCTCATCTGCAAGGCAGACTGGGCAGATGGGGCAGGAAAGGCAGGGAGGACTGCCTGAAGCTCAAAGCACAGACTGTCCTTGGAATGTTGGAAAGTTATTTGGAAAGTCCTTATGAGCTTGGGGCACATTCTTCTGAAGAGCTTTCTTGATTAGGAAAATCCTGTGCTTTGAGGATGGAATTGAATGTGTGGAGACAGCCAAAGGTCACTGGGAAAAGAGCCACAGTTGCAGGGAAAGGAAGCAAGCTCAGGGACATCATTAGAGATCGAGAGCCAGCCATGGCTATACAGAGACAGGCCCAAAAGAACAGTCACCTCCAGCAGGGCCATGGCAGTTTCCTTGGAGGAAGTCCTAAGCCGCCCAGAGAATGAGTGGCCCAAAGTTGCTCATTAGCCTGTGCCACTTTGAGGAAGTCACTCCACCTCTCTGATACTCAGCCTTCTCATCTGAAAACTAGGGACAATGACCTGCTCTGCCTGAAGCAGCACAATGGAGCATTTAGGATTGCTGGCTTTCAAATCAGACAGGGAGTCCTCGGCTCTGCCACTTACTGTGTAATTTTGAGCAAGTTCTCCAATTTCTCGGCGCCTATTTCCACATCCGTAAAATAAGAATAAGAGTACCTGTGAAACAGGGCTATTGGGACAATTACATGAATTGACATAGAAAAAGGATTTTGAACTGCACCAGGTATACTGCAAGCACTCAATAAATGTTAGCTATTGGTTTTATTGCCTTAGAGTGGAGTATGAGGATTAAAGGAGCTAGTATGTGTGGAAGGTTTGACATATAATTTGGCCTAGAGGCCCAGCTCAGAAAATGGTGGCATTCTGGTATCTAATGCTGCATCACAAGCCATTCCAAAGCTCAGTGGCTTAAAATAACAACAATCATTAACTTTGCTCATAAATCTGCAATTTGGGCAGGGCTTAGCAGGGTTGGCTCATCTCTGCTTCATGCAACATCAGCTGGGAAGGTGTGAGTGGGGCTGGAGGATTTGCTTCCAAGCTGGCTCACTCACATGGGGAGTAAGTCAGTGCTAGCTAATGGCTAAGAGCTTGGCCAAGGCTATACACTGGTGGCCTCCATTATCTCTGCATGGGCCTCCCTGCAGTGCTGCTTGGGCTTCCTCACAACATGGCAGCCAGGTTCTCAGAGCAAGCGTTCCAAGAAACAGAATCTGGAAGACTCCAGTCTCTTAAATCCTGGGCCAGAAAAATGGGTACAACTTCACTTCTGCAATGTTTTATTAGTCAACATTCACTGAGTCTGCTCAGATTCAAGGGGAGAAACACAGACCCCTCCTCTTGAATGAAAAGAGTGTCAAGGAATTTGCAGACATCTTTAACCTACTACAGGTAGTTTGCATTCTCACTCCAGGTACTGGCCCCAGGTAACTATGCTCAGACACAGATAGGTAAGTTCTTCCCCAAACCATGTTCCAACCTAGAAGTGGGTGATCAAATGGGGAGTGGAAAACTGACTCCTCACAACTGAGGTAAATCCTACTTGTCATTTAATATTCAGTAGAAGAGAATCAGAATCTCCCATCTCCCAAGATCCCTGAGTCAAGTGCTCCCTCTGCACTCCCATATCCTGGCTTCTCTGTTCCTGGAGCTGGTCAGGGAGTAGACAGTGTATTCAGGAGCTGCAAGTCAGAATGGTAAAGAGCACAGAGCTTGCTTGGGTGGGCTTCCTAAACTCACTGTGCCTTAGGTATCTCATCTGGAAAATGAGAATGATAATCTCTACATCATAAAGTAATTCTGAAGATTAACTGAGGTCACAAGTAGGTAGGGTGAAAACAAATTAACAAGCAACAAATCAAATGCATTTCTGGAAAATGTGGCATTATTTTTTGCTTTAGAGACAGATCTTCTCTTGCTCTCCAGCTCCCTTCCCCACTAGGTTGTCGTGAGTGGGCAGAGAAAAAGGAACTTTAAATAAGCAATTAAAAGTATGCCTTTCTAAGATGGGAAGCTGCGTATATGTTTAGCATTATCTCAACTATGTAAAAAGATAGGAACTAGAAGGAAATGTGCCAAAATGTTAACAGTGGTTGACTCTCAGAGGATGATGGGATGACAGGTGATTTTATCCTATTGCTTCTTCAAACTTTTCTGGTATGTCTCTACATCTTACCAGTTTTTGTGTTACTTTTATAATAAACACACACACACACACACACACACACACACACACATATATACAATGAATAAATATGTGACAGCACCTCTTCCACCTACACCCACACACTCCCACACAAGTTCATTCCTCTACAGAACAGGCTTTCTACAAGATGGTGCTATTGGAGCTTTAGGCCTGACAATTCTTCCTATCCTGAAGTAAATCACACATTGCAGGACATTTAGCCTCTCACCTCTGCCCACTTAAATGCCAGTAGCACTCTTAGTGTCAACCAAGAGCATCCCCACATGATGCAGAAAAATGTTCTTATTTTTCAGAGATGCATTTAGGGGTTGAAATGTTATGATAGTTGTAATTTGCTTTAAACTGCTTCAGAAAAAAAAATAGATAAAACGATTACAGCCAAATCCCCCATATAACTGAGAAATCCACGTGATAGATATAAGTGTATTTGTTCCATGATTCTTTCTACTTTTCTGTAGTGGGTGGAAAATGTCCCACCTATTTCCAAATGCCCCCTGCTGCTGTGATGTCACACCAGGTTGAAAACCCATGCCTCATTGCATCTCATCCTCTTTTTCATAAATATTGCATCTGATTATCAGGTTAAAATCTCTACAGGGGCTGCTTTATTTTTCTTCTAAATGTTTTCTCCTCTGCTTCCTTCTCCTCAAGATGACATCTGGATGTAGGGAAATGTTCTCATGGCAATGGGGAGGGATGGCCCTGGTACAGTCCTGTGAGTCCTGGCTGGTTTCACAAGATGCCCCTTGCTTTACCTAGCCAGGGGTGTCCTGATGGTGCCAGCTGCTAAAGCCCACACCCGCTGAAACTCACAGTCTGTTCTTGCCACCACCACTCTCCTGGGCACCTGAGCCCCAGCTGCATCCTCCATCCAGCCCTGCCTCAGCTGCTCATCCCACAGCTCCCTGGGCTCCCTGGTTTTCAAACCCCTCAGCAATCTACCCCATCCCAGATTCATAGGAACTTCTAGATCTCTCCCAGGACATGCACATCCATGACATGGTTCCTAATACAGGAGACAAACTGGGGTGGGATAAGAGCAGAAATCAGGGAATCTCAACCCTCCACCCGTACATTACATGTATATGGCATCTTGCACATGTCATGTCCACTGTCTTTAAAATAACAAACCCTGGCCGGGTGCGGTGGCTCATGCCTGTAATCCCAGCACTTTGGGAGGCCAAGGCGGGCAGATCACAAGGTCAGGAGATCGAGACCATCCTGGCTAACACGGTGAAACCCCGTCTTCGCTAAAAATACAAAAAATTAGCCAGGCGTAGTGGCGGGCGCATGTAGTCCCAGCTACTTGGGAGGCTGAGGCAGGAGAATGGCGTGAACCCAGGAGGCAGAGCTTGCAGTGAGCCAAGATCGCGCCACTGCACTCCAGCCTGGGTGACAGAGCAAGACTCCATCCCCCCCAAAAAAATAACACACACACTTTCTGGGTGCCTACTCTGTGCCAGGCACTGTACTAAGGGTCTGGGTGCCCCAGCTCACTTCAGATACACACCAGGTACCTGCTAATATGGGAAAAGGCAAACAAATCATGATGCACCTATGCAAGTTAATACCTGGAAACTGTTGAAAAGGGTACAATTAATTGACATGTGCTGATAAGAAAAGGTGTTCAAGACATGTAGTTAGATGAAAAGGTAAGTTTCAATACAATAGGTGGGGCATGATCTTTTTTTCCATGAAAAGATACGTATAATAATGAGAACTGTGAGCAACACATTTTTCTGCCCCTGCCTTAAACAATACCGGGACCAAGTAATAATAATTTAGCTGTTTGCTCCAGGAAATGCCTGCTCTTGGAAGATAAGACCAAACCAACTAAACATCTTACTTATCAAAATAGATAACTTGCTCATCAAGAATTAATTCAAGGCTCTTGCCTCTCTGGGCTCACCAATCCAAAGCAATTATGTCATAAATTCTGCCCAAGCCCAGACAATTACCTGTCTGTATCACTTACCTAAAAATTACCCTGAGCAGCCTAAACCTTGTAAGTGTCTTTTCCTTAATTTCTTCATTTTGAAATACTAGAAGAACTTTTTAAGGCATTGTTCTCCCTTACTACAGTTAACTTAATATGTTTAGCTTTGTTTGATCAACAGTTTTTCCTGGTGGGCTTTCAGGGAATCAATCATCAAAAAGAGTCACTTAATATGTGCTGAGCACTAGGTGGAGTGTTTTATACACTAATCCTACTCTGTGAGATTTTTAATGTCATTATTCCCATTTTACAGATGAAGAAAGTGAGGATGAGAATCTGAACAACTTAAGGACATAAACAGACATTTCTCAAAAGAAGACATGCATGCAGTCAACAAACATATGAAAAAAAGCTCAATATCACTGATCATTAGAGAAGTCCAAATCAAAACCACAATGAGATACCATCTCATGCCAATCAGAATGGCTACTAATGGCTGGGCATGGTGGCTCATGCCTGCAATCCCAGCACTTTGGGAAGCTGAGGTGAGCAGATAATGTGAGTCCAGGAGTTGCAGACCAGCCCAGGCAGCATGGTGAAACCCCATCTCTACCAAAATACAAAAAAAAAAAAAAAAATTGCCCTGTGTGGTAGTACATGACTGTAGTCCCAGTTACTTGGGAGGCTGCAGTGGGAGGATCACTTGAGCCTGAGAGACAGAGGTTGCAGCAAGCCAAGGTCGTGCAACTGCACTGCAGCAGGGGTGATGGAGTGAGATCGCATCTCAGAAAAAGAAAAAAAGAAGGAAAAAATAGACTGGCTATTATTAAAAAGTCAAAAAACAATAGATGCTGGCGAGGTTGTGGAGAAAAAGGAACATTTTTACCCTGTTGGTGGGAGTGTCAATTAGTTCAACCATTGTGGAAGACAGTGTGGCAATTCCTCAAAGACCTAGAGAAAGAAATACTATTTGACCCAGCAATCCCATTACTGGGTGTGTACCCAAACGAATACAAATCATTGTATTACAAAGATACATACATGTGTATATTCATTGCAGCACTGTTTACAATAGCAAAATCGTGGAATCAACTTAAATGCCCATCAGTGATAGACTAGACAAAGAAAATGTGGTACATATACACAGTGGAATACTATGCAGCCATAAAAAGGAACGAGATCATAACCTTTGCAGGGACATGGTTGGAGTTGGAAGCCATTATTCTCAGCAAACTAACACAGGAACAGAAAACCAAATACCACATTTTCTCACCTATAAGTGGGAGCTGATCAATGAGAACACATGGACACACATGGTGGGGGAGCAATACACACTGGGCACCTGGGGGCTGGGGAGGTGGGGGATGGAAGAGCATGGGGAAGAATGACGAATAGATGCTGGATTTAATACTTGCATGATAGGACAATCTGTGCAGTAAAGCACCATGGCACACATTTACCTATGTAACAAAACTGAACATCCTACACATGTACCCCTGAACTTAAAATAAGAATTTGAACAACTTGCCAAATATTACACAGGGAATAAATTTCAGAGACCACATTCAAACCCATGCAGTCTGGCTGCAGAGTCTGAGAGCTTAACCTCCTCATATTGCCTCTTTGCTGGTTATTATGACTATGTAACAAATTACTCAAAACCTCCGTGACTTAAGAAAACAACTACACTTATTTTGCTCACACATCTTCAATGTGGATAGGGATTTAGGGGAATAGATTGCCCTGTTCCAACTAGCATCAGCTGAGGTGGCTTGAACACTGAAAGATGGAATCATCTAGAAGCTCATTCTGACAATTGATGCTGTCAGCTGGGATCTCAGCTGGGAAATCAGCCAGAACACTTGCATGTGGCCTCCTCATGTGACAGGGCTTCCTCACAACATGGTGGCTGAGTTCCCAGGTGAGCATCCCAAGAAAGAGACTTCCAGGTGGAAGCCATAGTGTCTTTATGACTTAGAAGTCATGAAGTATCATGTATGACACATTTTATCTGCCAAGGCAATCACAAAGCCCTCCCCAGTTTCAAGGGGAGGGAAAACATATTTACCTCGTGATGGGGAGTGGCAATGTTTAGAAAAGCACGTAAGACCAGAAATATTGCTGTGGTCATTTTTTAAATTGTGATCTTCCACAGACCCATATATTCAGTGTGTATATACATAAATCTGAAATATTATATAACAAAGAGTTAGCTATGGTCATTTCTGGGGCTGTCTTTTATTTTCTATAATGTTTATTGTTGTACAGGTGTAACAAGCACTGTGGCAACATTACTTTTCAAAGACTTGATGTCTATTCTCAAAGGTTCACACTGAAGGTAAGTATCCTGAGCATTACCTTTTCCTTCTCCTGTATCCATATGTGCCTCTCTCTGCCCTGCTCTATGTTCCAGGAGACTGAACTTTATGCAGTCTATCACCCAAGCACCATCACCCTCTGACCTGTGGTTGGTTTCAGCCTATGGGAGCAGTGGAAGGAAATCAGAGGGGGAGAAAAAGGAGAGGTTGCGGGCATTTGTTCTTCCCTCCCCACCTGTCCATCTGTTGGGCAGTCCCTGTTCCACAGCTATAGGTATCAGTAAGCTCCAGTAATAATTCTTTCATCTTAATCCTTCAAGCCCAAGACTGGTAATGGCTTTGGCTTATGGCTAGGCCCTGGGTGCTTCATCTTCCGGTATGGGTTCCCTTAATCCTGTCTAATCCTCTCTTCAAGGAAGCCTGTAACTGTGCTTTCTGTTTCCTACAAGTCCCTGACTGATCCAAGGCATTGATGGAGACAAATCAGTAAACAATGGCATTACAGTGTGTTGATTGCTTTGAGAGACATGGACAGGAAAAGAAAATCAGATTTTTCTGGAAGAGTCAGGGAAGCCTTCCTAACAAAAGTGATACTTAAATTGAGACACAAGAGATGAGTTGACATTCACCAGTTTGTGAAAAAGGTTTTCGATCCTGTGGGATTTTCATGGATAAGGAAATAGGCCCAGAGAGGTAAAGTGACTTACCCATGGTCACACAGTGAATCGTACAGACTGAAGCCTTCTGCTTCATCTATCACAATAGAGGACAAGTTTATTGTATCAGTTGAGATGTTTATGGCTGTAAACAACTAGAAAAAAAGTCTTAATTAGTAAAATGCATCATATAATAATATGAAGACCAAAGTAAGGTAACTCCAGGATTGATGAAATTAAATCAAATGCTTAATAATGTCATCAGATTGAAGTCAAAATAAATGCAGTGATATACCATGGATTAGAAGACTCAATATTGGTAATTAATTCCCTTGAAATTGATTTGTAGATTTAATGCAATCCCAACCAAAATCCGACAAAGTATAGAAATTATCAAGCTAATTCTAAAATTTATATGGAAATATGATGGACCTAGAAATAACCTAGGCAATCTTAAAGAAGGATATGCCCCACCAGCTATCAATGCTTACTATAAAGCTATAGTAATTAAGGCAGTGTGATATTGGTGCAAGGATGGACAAATAGACCAATGGAATAGCATTTAGACTCCAATGTTGGATCCAAACAAGTATGATAGCTTGATTTACCACCAAAATTCAGTAGGTCAGGAGAAATTTTATATCAACATAGAAAATAATCTATATGGAAAAAATGAATGGAACATTACACAGTGCTCTAAACTAGCCTGGGAATAGTGGCTCACGCCTGTAATCCCAGGTCTTTATGAGGCCAAGGCAGGAGGATCACCTGAGACCAGAAATTCAAGATCAACTTGGGCAACATGGAGAGACCCTCTCTCTATAAAAAAATTTTTTTTTAATTACCAGGGCATAGTGGCATGCGCCTATAGTCCCAGCTATGTGGGGGGCTGAGGCAGGAGGATTGCTTGAGCTCAGGAGTTTGAAGCTGCAGTGAGTTATGATCGTGCCACTGCACTCCAGCCTGGGGGACAAAACCAGATCCTATCTCAAAAATAAATAAATAAATATAAACTACCGGTATAATAATTACATTAAATAATAAATAAATAAATATAAACTACCAGTGTAATAATTACATTAAAGAACCTCAAAAACATGTTGAGCAAAAGAAGCCAACTACAAAAGAGCTTATGCTATATTATTCAATTCATATAAAGATCAAGAACAAGTAAAACCATGGAGATAGGAATTAGGACAGTGGATTTAAAATGGGCAAAGGACTTGAATAGATAATTCCCGAAAGAAAATGGCCAAAAAGCACATGACGAGATGCTCAGCATCACTAATATTTTGAGAAATGCCAATCAAAACCACAATGTGATATCATCTCACACCAATTAGGATGGCCACTATCAAAAGAACAGAAAACAAGTATTGGCAAGAATGCAGAGAAATAAGAACCCTTGTGCACTGCTGGGAATATAAAATGGTGCAACAGCTATGGAAAACAGTATGGAAGTTCCTCAAAAAATTAAAAATAGAATTACCATATGGCCCAGCAGTCCCACTTCTGGATTTATTTCCAAAAGAATTCAAAGCAGGATCTCAGAGATATTTGCACTCTCATGTTCACTGCAGCATTATTCATAGTAGTGAAGATGTGGACACAACCCACATTTCCAATGACAGATGAATGGATAAAGAAAATATGGTTTGTACATATAAAGGAATATTATGCAGTCTTTAAAAAGAAGGATTTGCTGGCGAGAGTGTAAATTAGTTCAACCATCGTGGAAGACAGTGTGTCGATTCCTGGAGGATCTAGAACCAGAAATACCATTTGACCCAGAAATCCCATTACTGGGTATATACCCAAAGGATTATAAATCATTCTACTATAAAGACACATGCACATGTATGTTTATTGAAGCACTATTTACCATAGCAAAGACTTGGAACCAACCCAAATGCCCATCAATGATAGACTGGATAACGAAAATGTGGCACATATACACCATGGAATACTATGCAACCATAAAAAAGAATGAGTTCATGTCCTTTGCAGAGACATGGATGAATCTGGAAACCATCATTCTCAGCAAACTAACACAGGAACTGAAAATCAAACACCACATGTTCTCACTCATAAGTGAGAGCTGAACAATGACAACACATGGACACAGGGAGGGGAACATCACACACCGGGGCCTGTCGGCAGGTGGGGCGAAAGGGGAGGGAGAGCATTAGGACAAATACCTAATGCATGTGGGGCTTAAAACCTAGATGATGGGTTGACAGGTGCAGCAAACCACCATGGTACATGCATATCTATGTAACAAACCTGCACGTTCTGCACATGTATCCCAAAACTTAAAGTAAAATTTAAAAAATATAAAAAGGATATCCTGTCACATGCTATAACATGGATGAACCTCAAGGATATTATGCTCAGTGAAATAAACTAGTCACAAAATGGCAAATACCATATGTTTCCACTCATATGCGGTATCTAAATTAGTCAAAACTGTAGAAACAGAAAATAGAGAAGGTGATTGCCAGGGGCCAGGAGGAGGTGGGAAAGGAATTAGTGTTTAGTGGGCATAGAGTTCGGGTTTTACAAAATGAAAAAAAATCCTGGAGATCTGTTACACAACAAGGTGAATATAATTAACACTACTAAACTGTACACATAAAAATGTTTGAGTGTAAATTTAATGTTATGTGTTCATAACCACAATTAAAAACAAAAAAAAATTGTTAAGGCATTGGAACACTGAGGATAGGAAATTGCCTGGGAAGGGGCACGAGGCAGCCCTCTGGAGAGCTGGAAGTGTGCTGTATCTTGATCGGGCTCATGGTTACAAGAGTGTATACACATAAAATCTTCCCCAAGCTGTACACTTAAGATGTGTGCACTTTATTGTATGAAAGTTATACATCAGGTTTAAAAATGTGCCACCAAAGAGGACCCAATTCTTTTCATATTTTCACTGTGACAGCCTCAGTGTGTGGACTTTGTCTTAATCATAAGATGGCAGCTGCAAGAGCCAGGCATTACATGTAATAAGGAATATGTCTGGGGTAAAAAGAGACCCTCTTTTCCTGTGTGTTTTTGAAAAGTAAAGAAACATTTCCCAGAGCCACCACCCCTACCAGCAGATGCTTTCTCACGTATTAATGACCACAACTGCATCACACGTCCTGGCCTACGCCAGTTGCTGGCAAGGGAAATAAGAGTGTCATGATCAGGGTTTACCTTTGCCCAGGTCATATGGATTGCTGGGTCAGTGATCAATACTATGTTTTTGTTTTTGTTTGTTTGTTTGTTTTTGTTTTGTTTTGTTTTGTTTTTTGAGACAGTCTCGTTCTGTTGCCCAGGCTGGAGAGCAGTGGCTTGATCTCAGCTCACTGCAACCTCCGCCTCCCAAGTTCAAGTGATTCTCCTGCCTCAGGCTCCCGAGTAGCTGGGACTACAGGCACGCACCACCACGCCCCGCTAATATTTGTATTTTTAGTAGATACAGGCTTTCCCCATGTTGGCCAGGTTGGTCTCAAACTCCTGACCTTGGGTGATCCACTGGCCTTGGCCTCCCAAAGTGCTGGGATTACAGGCATAAGCCACCATGCCTGGCCAACTCTACAGGCATAATAATAAGTCCCTCAACAAGGGACTGGACTGCCCCACAGAAGACAACCTACAAAGGCAAAGCAGCATCTCTTCTTCTACACCTTCTTTTTTTTTCTTTGTTTTTTTAAAAATATTTTTTCCAAAATGGTGTATCATCATTGTTTTTCTAATTATGTGATTAATGTTCATTGTGAAAGTTCAACTAGTAAGTGAAAATAATCCAAAATTAACCCTCCCCACCCCACCATAATAATCAGTATTAAAAGTCTGGTCTGTAGACTTCCAGATTTTTTCTTGTCATATATGTCATTTTATGTACTTAGACAATTTTTTAAACTACAGAAATAGGAGCACAACATATGCGTTAAATACTATCATTAGTCTACATGCATAACTAACACTTCTTGATCATTTCCTCTGCCAACAATCCAAATATGCTTCAAGGGGGAAATCAGCCCCTTCCCTGGTCCCAGGAGGTGAAGTATAATTAGCATAAAAGAGTAGGTTTTTTTTTTTTTTTTTAGACAGAATCTCGCTCTGTCCCAGGCTAGAGTACAGTGGCACAATCTCAGCTCACTGCAACCTCCGCCTCCCGGGTTCAAGTGATTCTCCTGCCTCAGCCTCCCGAGTAGCTGGAACTACAGGCGCCTGCCACCTAGCCCAGCTAATTTTTTGTATTTTCAGTAGAGACAGGGTTTCACCATGTTGGCCGGGATGGTCTCCATCTCTTGACCTCATGACCCACCCGCCTCGGCCTCCCAAAGTGTTGGGATTACAGGCGTAAGCCATCGCGCCCAGCCAAAAGAGTAGTTTTGAACTCTGCTACCCATTGAAAATACCCAGGGAATTAAAAATATATACATAGCCCAGGTCCCACTCCCAGAGATACTGCACTACAGACTGTTGGTGTGCTGTGGACTCAGGAGCCTAAACCTTGCAGGTGGTATTGCTAACATGTGGCTGGAGTTGAGAGCTACTGGTCTCAACTCATTGTTACAGTCCTGTTCTTACCACTGACTTATTTAAGAATTGTTATATTCCTGTTCTCCTTACCACCTGATGGAGGTTCTGGAAAAGTTTTCCCCAATCTCAGAAAGGGACGTGGTTAAGATATTAATATCTTCTGCCTCTATATATTGCCATTAGCATGGCGCTTCTGGAGCAATGGCAATTATCCTGGGCCTTGGAGGGAATAAGACTAAGACAGCGGTCCCCAACCCCTGGGCCACTGACCAGAACCTATCCGCAGCCTGTTAGGAACCGGGCTGCACAGCAGGAGGTGAGCGGGGTGAGCAAGCCTTACTGCCTAAGCTCCGCCTCCTGTCAGAATCAGCAGCAGCATTAGATTCTCATAGGAGCAAAACCCTATTGTGAACTGCGCGTGCAAGGGATCTAGGTTGCACGCTCCTTATGAGAATCTAATGCTTGACGATCTGAGGTGGAACAGTTTCATCCTGAAACCACCAGCAGCACCCTCCCCAACCTTTCCCCCTCTCCCTGCCATCCGTGGAAAAATTGTTTTCCACCAAACTGTTCCTTGGTGCCAAAAAAGGCTGGACTAAGAGGATGAGCCAATGATCTGGGGATGGCAGAACAAGAATGTAGAAAGAACTCAAATCCTTGATGATGTATCTAAGGTTGAATTAGCCAACCCTGGAAACACTCTACTTCTAGCTTCTTGAGTGAGATAGCATTTCATTTGCATTTTCACGTTTGAGTTACATACAGCCAAAAGCTTCCTAACTAGTACAAGCTGGAGTACGGTGGCATAATTATGACTCACTGCAGCCTCTAACTCCTAGGTGCAAGCAATCCTCCTGCCTCAGCATCACAAGTAGCTGGAACAGGCAAGTGGCACCACACCCAACTGATTTTTTATTTTTATTTTTGTTGAGACAGGGTCTTGCTATGTTGCTGGTCTTAAACCCCTGACCTCAAGCGATCCTCTCACCTCAGCCTCCTGAGTTGCTGGGATTACAGACATAAGCCACTGACCCTGGCAGTGTTTTTAAACTTCTTTCTATTTAACTCCTTCAGGTATTGTTTGTTATTAGTTCATGATATATTTTTATAATTTTGTTTTAGAAATTAAAAAAAGGGAAAATAATAACCACAGTGTCAGGATCATGTTTAGAAGCACATGGAAGAAGCTATGACCAAAAAATGATATAAATCGGCTGGGTGCAGTGGCTCACACCTGTAATCTCAGCCCTTTGGGAGGCCAAGGTAGGTGGATCACCTGAGGTCAGGAGTTCAAGACCAGTCTGGCCAACATGGTGAAATGATGTCTCTACTAAAAATACAAAAATTAGCCAGATGTGGCGGTGCATGCCTGTAGTGCCAGCTACTTGGGAGACTAAGGCAGTAGAATAGCTTGAACCCAGGAGGTGGAGGTTGCAGTGAGCCAAGATTGCGCCACTGAACTTCAGCCTGGGCAACAGAGTAAGACTTCTTCTCAAAAAAAAAAAAAGATATAAATTACTAAAATGCGTATATGTCTTATGTAACAAGAAGTGCTGGGTATGCCTTATGCCTCCTCTTTCCTTCTTTCCTCTGCACACTGTGAAGACTCATCTTTAGGCTTTGTAGTCTCATGGCTGTATGCTGTTTGCTGCACTCTAGACAACACTTCCATGTTCCAGACAGGGAGAATGGGGAAGGGGCAAAAAGGCAAAAGAGAAGCAAGGAACAGGGGCTGTTCCTTCCATAAAAGCATCCCTGAACGTCTCATCCAGTGACTTCCACTGCACTTTATCAGCCAGGACTCCTTGGTACTGGAAGGTTTGGGTCACTCAGTTGCATTTTTATCCTTCTATATGTAATTCTAAGCTTCATTAAACTTATTTGCGATATAATGAGTAACTTTTTCCCCAAGATAATTTTAAAATATTCTATTGTGTTTTAGGGATATGAATATAAATGTTTTTCCTGTGCAAGCATTTGCCAAAAAAGACATTGTTCTTGAGAGATGTGTATTCTCTCAAGTTTGGGTATTATAAACTAAGAATGATTCCACTGGGAAAATGTTAACCAGAGAAATATTCTGCAGGATATCCCTGAATACTGTGGAGGTTTTTCCTTACCTCCAGCTCCACCTTATCTTTGGTGAGTTGCATAGTAAACATTCCACTGTGTGGATAACTAATGTACCTTGTCCCCTACTGTTGAACATTTAGAATGTTTCCAATATTTCACAATTATAAACAAGGCTGCATTGAACATCTTTATACAAACACCCTTGACCATTTGTCCAATTACTTCTTTGGGATCCTTGAAATGAAATGCTAAACTGAAAGTTCTGCAAATTTTACATTTTGATACATATTGCCAAATTGCCTTCTGAAAGGTTGTACCAACTCCATTACTTCTCCATTGCTGCAATAATGAACATGCATCACAATGGCACCCTGGACCTCTTACATGGAGAGGAGGATAGATGGTTCTGTTAACGTAGCCTTTGGAAGCAGAGAGCTTCATAATTCAGACACCAGTTACATTTGGAAATGAGATTAGTACAAGGAATCTTCCCATTCATCTCGCTAAAAGTTTCAAGGTTCCATTCCTGGGCAGATGAAACAATAAAACAAAACCAGTGAAATGAAGTCAATGTGGAGCCAAGACATTTACTTTGATAAACGTTTCCATTTAGGACCAATTTTCAGGGCAGCTTGCTTAGCTCTGACTTGAAGGAGCATCACTACCATGCTCCACCACAGTTTCTCTCTATTAGTGATTTTTCTCCCTAAAACACACACATTGACCTCATTAGCTCCCTTCTCAAAAGTATGTCATGATGCCCCACCCTACATATGTTCTTGAGAATGATGCCCAATATCCCAGTAGAAGAGCTGCCATTGCTTACTACATAGTAGTGACAGCATCAGCAATCATATAAAAGCTTGCAGTTACTTAATGGGGAATTAGTGTTTAACGGGTACAGAGTTTCAGGTTGGGATGATAGAAAAGTTCTGGAGATGAATGGCGGTGATGGTCGTACAACAATGCGAATGTATTTATTGCCACTGAATTCAACTCTTAAGGATGATTAAAGTGGCAAATTTTAACTTATCTATTTTACCACAATGAAAAAAATTTTCTTTAATCACAGACTTCCAGTTTCCAGTTCAACATGTGAGATGTTGGAAGTTGTCATTTTATCCTAACAAGCCAAAAACTGAACAAACTGAAAAATCAACAACTCTTCTTAGATTTGTCAGAGAACTGAGATCATAGGACAAACTGCCGCCCTCTAAATTGGAGAAAGAGAGGCAGATACATAGAATCACAATTTACCAGAGCAAAAATCCTCCAGTAGAAACTTGTGCAGGAATCAGTACTAGATAGGAAAACCTGACCTGCAGTTGACAAACCGATGGAGGCTCAATGTGGACAAGTCTGAGAGACAAAAACGTCAGAAGGGTCCAGTCATAGGGAGGCCCCCACACTTCTTACCTTTTTACCTTCAGGAGCTCTATGGGGTTCTCACGGTGAGTATTAAAGAAAAACAAAGGCTTCTTGCAGGTGGAATGGGGAAAGGAACCATTGTGAAATACACCAGAGCATTCTGTTCATAAGCAAGTCTGCCCTCAGGAGAAACTATTTTGCCAGAGCTTGACCTATTGGAGTTTTAACAGAACCAAACCAACCTAGGGGAAGGGAAATAGCCAACTCCCCCAACTCTAGCCATCTTGTCCCACTTAAGGGGGCAGAGGGGACTAAGAAGCACATGTGAAGCTCACAGCTCATAGACACAGACTCACTAAAAGACTGAGACCTAATCATAGGACTATAGAATGTTTCCCCTCACCCTACACCTTTCTGCCACACTGCTAAAGACCTATTTATTTAAGTTCTTTTTATGCAGTACATCATGCTTGGCTTTCACCATAAAATTACAAAGCATACTAAAAGGCAAAAAACAATTTGCAGAGAGACCAAGCATCAGAACCAGATTTAGATATAGCAGGGAGGGATGTTGGAAATTTAAGACAACTGTGATTAATATGCCAAGGGCTCTAATGAGAAAAGTAGACAACATGCAAGAGAACACACAGGGCATGTGAGCAGAGAGATGGAAGATCTAAGACAAAGTTAAAAAGAAATACTAAAGATTAAAAGCACTGTAACAGAAATAAAGAATGTCTCTGGTGGGCTCAGTAGTAGATTGGATGTGGCTAAAGAAAAAATGTCTGACTTTGAAGATATGTCAGTAGAAACTTCTAAAACTGAAAATCAAAAAAAAAAAGACTGAAAACAAAACAAAACAAAGACAAGAATATGCAAGAACTGAGGGACAATTACAAAAGGTATAACATATGCATAAAGGGAATACCAGAAGAGAAATAAAGACAGACAGGAACAGAAGAAATATTTGATGCAATAATCATTGATAATTCCCCCACAAATAATGGCAGACACCAAATCACAGACCAGGAAGCTCAGAGAACATCAAGCAAAATAAGTGCCAAAAATCTAACAACAACCCCCAAAAAAAGACATTTGAGCCATATCATATTTGAACTGCAGAAAATCAAAGATAAAGAAAACATTTTGAAAGAAGCCAGAGGAAGAAAACAGCTTACCTATAGAGAAGCAAGGATAAGAATTATATCTGTCTCCTCTTCAGAAGCCATGCAGGCAAGAAGACAGTAGAGTCACATATTTAAAGTGTTGAGAGAAGAAAAAAGAAAAAAGCAACCTAGAATTCTGTGCTCTGTGGAAGTATCCATCAAAATGAAAAATAAAGAAAGACTTTTTCAGACAAGCAAAGATGGAAGGAATCAGTTGCCAGTAGACTTGCCTTGCAGGAAATGTTAAGCAAATTTCTTCAGAGCGAAGAAAAATTATATAGGTCAGAAATTCAGATCTACGTAAAAAAAAGAACATCGAACGAGGAATAAGTGAAGGTAAAATAGAGCTTTTATTACTCTTATTCTTAATTGATCTAACAGATGACAGTTGGTTAAAAAATAATAGCAAAGATGTATTCAATTATGTACGCTTATGTGTGTGTATGTATACACACACACTTATGTGTAAATAAAATGAGTGACAGCAATGATGTAAGACATGGGAAGGAGGAATTAGGAATACTTTGTTATTATAAGGTACTTGCACTACCTGTGAAGTAGTATAGTGTTATATGAAAGTGGACTTGTATTCATTGCATATGTATTTTATATATAGACACAATTCTAGGGCAACCACTAGAATGCATATGCATTATATATAGCTGTATATGCATTATATATATGTATAGAGAGGGTGAGAGAGTAAGTGAGTTCCAGGGCAACCACTAACAAAAGTATAAAAAAAGAAGGATGATATACCAAGAAAGGAGAGTATGTTAGGTTGTTCATTGCATTGCTGTCAAGAAATGCCTGAGGCTGTGTAATTTATAAAGAAAAGAGGGTTATTGGCTCTCAGTTCTACAGGCTATACAATCATGGCACCAACACCTGCTTGACGTCTGGTGAGGCCCTCAAGAAGCTTTTACTCATGGCAGAAGGCAAAGTGGGAGCAGGCACATCAGATGGCCAAAAACGGGAGCAAGTGGAGGGCGATGCCCCTTTTAAACAACCAGATCTCATGAGAAATCATTCACTATGGCGAGAACAGCACCAAGGCGAATGGTGCTAAACCATTCATGAGAAATCCACCCCCATAATCCAATCACCTCCCGCTAGGCCCCACCTTCAACATTGGGGATTACATTTCAAAATGAGATTTGATGGTAGCAAATATTCAAATGATATTGGAGACACAATAGAATAATATAAAGTGCTCAATTAAAACTACAAAAGACACAAAAAGAGTGGAAGACAAAAATAGGAACAAAGAACGAGGGCAATGAATAGAAAACTGTAACAAATATTGTAGATATGAATCTAACTATATCAGTAATCATGTAAATGTCAGTGATCTAAATACATCAATTAAAAGACAGATTATCAGAATGGATTAAAAAATAAGACCGTCGGGTGTGGTGGCTCCATGCCTGTAATCCCAGCACTTTGGGAGGCTGAGGTGGGCGGATCATGAGGTCAGGAGTTCCAGACCAGCCTGGCCAACATAGTGAAACCCTGTCTCTACTGAAAATACAAAAATTAGCCAGGCATCGTGGCGGGTGCCTGTAATCCAGCTACTCGGGAGGCTGAGGCAGAAGAACCACTTGAACCCGGGAGGCAGAGGTTGCAGTGAGCCGAGATTATGCCACTGCACTCTAGCCTGGGTGACAGAGCGAGACTCCATCTCAAAACAAAGAAAAGAAAAAAAGACCCAACCATTTGGGTCATAAATTGTCTACAAAAGATCCCCTTTAAATATAAAGACACATATAGATTAAAAGTGAAGGGGTAGAGAACAATATGCCATGACAACACCAATCAAAAGAAAGCTGAAGCATCTATACTAATTTCAAATAGAGGCCGGGCGCAGTGGCTCACGCCTGTAATCCCAGCACTTTGGGAGGCTGAGGCGGGTGGATTACAAGGTCAAGAGATCAAGACCATCCTGGCCAACATGGTGAAACCCTGTCTCTACTAAGAATATAAAAATTAGCTAGGCATGGTAGCACGTGCCTGTAGTCCCATCTACTCTGGAGGCTGAGGCAAGAGAATCATTTGAAACTGGCAGGCAGAGGTTGCAGTGAACTGAGATTGTGCCACTGCACTCTAGCCTGGACGACAGAGTAAGACTCCGTCTCATAACAAACAAACAAAAGCAGAGCAGACTTCAGAGCAAGAAAAATTATCAGGAAAAAGAAGAGCATTACATAACCATAAAATGGTCAATTCTCCAAGAATAGACATAACAATTATGTCTCCAAGAAGATATAACAATCTTTAATGTCTATGCACTTAACAACACAGCATCAAAATACATGAGGCAAAAACTGACAGAAATGCAAGGAGAGGCCAGGCACAGTGGCTCATGCCTGCAATCCCAGCACTTTGGGAGGCCAAGACAGGTGGATCACTTGAGTCCAGGAGTTTAAGACCAGCCTGGGAAGTGTAACAAAATCCCATCTCTACAAAAAATAAAAAATTAGCCCAGCATGGTGGCTCACACTTGTGGTCCCAGCTACTCAGGAGGCTGACGAGGGAGGATCACTTGAGCCCCAGAGTTTGAGGCTGCAGTGAGTTGTGTTTGTGCCACTGCACTCACCGTAGGTGACAGAGAGAGACCCTGTCTCAAAAAAAAAAAAAAAAAAAAAAAAAAAAAAAAGCAAGGAGAAATGGATGAATCTACTACTATAGGTAGAGACTTCAATACTCCTCTATCAGCAGTGGACAAATACAGCAGGCAAAAAGTCAGTAAGGATATAGTTGAACTCAATAGCACCATTTATCAACAAGAAATAATTAACAAATACAGACTACTTCATCCAACAACAATAGAATACCCATTCTTCTCAATTTCTGATGAATATCACTATGATAGACTACATTCTGGTCCATAAAACACACCTAAACACATTTAAAAGAATAGAAGTTGGCCAGGCATGGTGGCTCACGCCTGTAATCCCAGCACTTTGTGAGGCCGAGGCAGGCAAATCACTTGAGGTCAGGAGTTCGAGACCAGCCTGACCAACATGGAGAAACCCCATCTCTACTAAAAATACAAAATTAGCTGGGCATGGTGGCACATACCTGTAATTCTAGCTACTCGGGAGGCTGAGGCAGGAGAATCTCTTGAACTTGGGAGGCAGAGGTTGCGGTGAGCTGAGATCACGCCACTGCATGCCAGCCTGGGCAACAAGAGCAAAACTCCGTATAAAAAAAAAAAAAGAATAGAAGGAATAGAAATCATACAATGTCTACTCTTAGGCAGCAATGAAATTAAACAAGAAATCAATAACAGAAAGACAGCTAGAAATTTTCAAACTATTTGGAGAGTAAACAACACTTTCTGATAACAGGTCAAAGAAGAAATCTTGAGAGAAATTTAATACTATTTTGACCTAAGTAAAAATGAAAATACAATTTATCAAAATTTGTAGAAATGCAGCAAAAGCAGTACTTAGAGGGAAATTAATAGCATTGAATATATGTGTTAGAGAAAAGAGGCTGGGCACGGCGGTACATGCCTGTAATCCCAACACTTTGGGAGGCCAAGGCAGGTGGATCACTTGAGGGTCAGGAGTTCAAGACCAGCCTGGCCAACATGGCAAAACCTCGTCTCTACTAAAAATACAAAAATTAGCCAGGTGTGATGGCACACACCTGTAGTTTCAGCTACTCAGAAGGCTGAGGCAGTAGAATCGCTTCAACCCAGGAGGCAGAGATTGCAGTGAGCCGAGATTGCGCCACTACACTCCAGCCTCGGTGACAGAGCAAGACACTGTCTCTAAAAAAAGAAAGAAAAAAAGAAATAACTAAAATCAATAATCTAAGCTCCCATCTTAGGAAATAAAAAAAAAAAGCAAATTAAACCTAAGTAAGCAGAAGTAAAGAAATAATTAAAAACAAAACACAAAACAATGAAATTAAAAATGGGAAGTCAATAGGGAAAATAAACAAAACAAAATATTGGTTCTTTGAAAAGATCAGTTTTGGCCAAGGTCAAATAAGCCTTGGCCGGGTGTGGTGGCTCACGCCTGTAATCCCAACACTTTGGGAGGCCGAGGTGGGCGGATCATGATGTTAGGAGTTCAAGACCAGCCTGGCCAACATGGTGAAACCCCTTCTCTACTAAAAATACAAAAAAAATAGCCAGGCATGGTGGCGGGCACCTGTAATCCCAGCTACTCGGGAGGCTGAGGCCGGAAAATTGCTTGAACCTGGGAGCCGGGGATTTCAGTGAACCGAGATCATGCCCCTGTACTCCAGTCTGGGTGACAGAGCAAGACTCAGTCTCAAAAAATAAAATAAAAATAAATAAGCCCCTAGCCAGACTATCTAAGAAAAAACAAGAAAAGGCAGAGATTAATAATATCAGAAATGAAAGAGGTGCCATTATTCCAGATCCCATGAACATTGAAAGGATAATAAAGGAATATTATTAACAACTCCATGCCCACAAATTTGATAACTTAGAAGAAGCAGACCAATTCCTTGAAAGACACAGTTTGCCAAAACTCACACAAGAAAAAATAGACAATTTGAATAGGCCTATATCTATTAAAGAAATTGAATCAACAATTAATAACCTTCCAAAACAAAAAGCACCAGGCCCAGATGCACTCTGCTGAATTCTACGAAACATTTAAGAAGAAATTATACTGGTGAAGCGCAGTGGCTCACAATTGTAATCCCACTACTTTGGGAGGCCAAGGCAGGAGGATCCCTTGAGTCCTGGAGTTCAAGACAAGCCTGGAAAACATAGCGACATCCCTGTCTCTACAAGATATATAAAAAAAAAAAAATCAGCAAGGTGTGGTGGCACACATTTGTAGTCTCAGCTACTCAGGAGGCTGAGGCAGGAGGATCACTTGAGACTAGGAAGTCAAGGCTGCATTGAACCATGATGGAGCCACTGCACTCTAGCTTGGGTGATAGAGTGAGACCCTGTCTCAACAAAGAAGAATAAGAAGGAGAAGGAGAGGAAGAGGAAGAAGAAGAAGGAGAAGGAGGAGGAGGAGCAGGAGGAGGAGGAGGAGAAAAGAAGGGGAAGGAAGAAGAAGAAAAAGAAGAAGAAGAAGAGGAAGAAGAAGAAGAAGAGAAGAAGAGAAGAAAAGAGGAAAAAGAGGAAAAAGAAGAAGAAGAAGAAAGGAGAGGAGGAGGAGGAATACGAAGAAGAAAGAGAAGAAAAAATTATAGCAATTCTCAACAATCTCTCAGAAAATAGAAGCAGAGAGACTATTTCCTAACTCCTTCTATGAGGCCAGCATTACCCTAATACAAAAACCAAAGACAGTATTAAAAAAAAAGTCCTCAACAAAATATTAGCAAATCAAATCCCACAATGTAGATAAAGGATTATACACACCATGACGAAGTAAAATTTATCCCAGATACGCAAAGATGGTTCAACATTCAAACATCAACTAATTTTTCAATAGCAGACAGATACTAAAAGCAAATTAAAAATAAATAAATAAATATAATCCACATCAACTGGCTAAAGAAGAAAAATCACATAATCATATTAACAGTTGCAGAAAAAGCTAGTGACAAAATTCAACATCCATTCAACATAAAAACTCTCAGCAAACTAGCTGGGTACAGTGGCACACACCTGTAGTTCCAGCTACTTGGGAGGTTGAGCCAGGAGGATCACTTGAGCCCAGGAGTTTTAGTCCAGCCTGGGCAACATAACCAGACCCTGTCAAAAAAAGAAAAGAAAAGAAAAAGGAAGGAAGGAAGGAAGGAGAAAAATTAACAAAAAATATCAACTTTCAGCAAACTAGGAATAGAGGGGAACTTCCTCGACTTGATAAAGTACAGATAAAAAAACCTTACAGCTAAAAACATATTTTGACAAAAACAAACTCACTAGAACTAATTGGTGATTATAGTGAGTGTGCAGGATACAAAATTTATGTTTAAAAGTTAATCAATTTCCTATATGCCAGCATTGAAAAAGTGGAATTTGAAACAGAATACTATTTACATGACCACTCCAAAAATGAAATACGTAGGTATAAATCTAACAAAGTATGTCCAAAATATATATGAGGAAAACTATGAAACTATGGTAAAAGAAATCTAAAAAGAACTAAATCAATTGAGAGATATTTCATATTCATGGATAGGAAGATTCAATATTGTCAAGACGTTGGCTCTTCCCAACTTAGTTCAATGGATTCAATACAATATAAATCAAAATCAAAAGCAAGTTATTTTGTGGATATCAACAAATCGTTTATATTTAGAGGCAAAAGATCCAGAATAGCCAAGACAATATTAAAAGAGGAGAACACTATTAAAGAAGAAAAACAATATTAAAGGAGAAGAAAAAGTGTCAGGACTGACACTATCCGATTTCAAGATTTAATGTAATGAATGCTACATACTTCGGAGGCTGAGGTGAGAGGATTGCTTGAGCCCAGCAGTTCAAGGATGCAGTGAGCTATGATCATGCCACAGCACTAAATAGATGTAATCAATAAGAAAAGAATTGCTTTGACAGATAACACTTTGATTGCTCGATATCTTGGCAAATACGGCATCATCTGCATGGAGGATCTGATTATGAGATCTATACTGTTGGGAAACGCTTTAAAGAAGCAAATAACTTCCTGTGGCCCTTCAAATTATTCTCTCCACGAGGTGGAATGAAGTAACAGACCACCCATTTCACAGAAGGTGGAGATGCTGGCAACAGGGAGGACCAGATCAACAGGCTTATTAGAAGAATGAACTAAGGTGTCTATCATGATTGTTTTTCTAATCTGGTCAGTTAATAAACAGTACCTGCTCTCAAACGGAAAAAAAAAAATACACACACACACACACACACACACACACACACACAAAGCTACAGTAATTACAGTAATCAAGACTGTAATATGGGTGAATGAATAGACAAATCAATGGACCAGAATAAACATCCTAGAAATAGACCCACATAAAAATAGTTGATCTTTGACAGAGGAAGAAAGGTAGTACAATAGAGAAAAGATAGTCTTTCAAAAAATAATAATGGAACAACTGGTCATTCACATGCAAAGAAAATGAATCTAGACACAGATCTCACACTCTTCACAAAAATTAACTCAAAATGGACCATAAACCTAAATGTAAAACACAAAATTATAAGACTCTTAGAAGATAACATAAAATAAAATCTAAATGACCTTGTGTATGGTGATAACTTTTTAGATACTATTTACATTATTACACCAAAAGCATGAAACATGAAAGAAAGAACTGATAAGCTAGACTTCATTAAAATTAAAAGCTGTTCTTGAGAAGACAATGTCAAGAGAATGAAAAGACAAGCCACAGACCAACAGAAAATATTTGTAAAAGACACATCTGATATAGGACTGTTACCTAAAATATACAAAGAACTGTTAAAAACTCAACAGAAACAAAAAAACCCTGATTTTAAAATGGGCAAAGGACCTGTACACACACCTTTGTGTGTTGTGTTGTGAAGATATATGGATAACAAATAAACATCTAAGCAGATGCTTCACATCATATGTCACCAGGGAACTGCAAATTAAAACAGCAATGAGATATCACTACATACCCATCAGAATGGTAAAAATCCAAAACACTGATGACATCAAATGCTAGTGAGGATGTGGAGTAGCAGGATCTCTCATTCATTGCTGGTGGGAATGCAAAATGGTACAGCCGCATTGAAAGACAGTTTGGCAGTTTCCTATAAAACTAAACATACTCTTATTGCGTGATGTAGCAATCACACTCCTTGGTATTTACCCAAAGGAGCTGAAAACTTATGTCCATGCAAAAATATGCACATGGATGTTTATAGCAGCTTTATTCATAATTGCCAAAACTTGAAAGCAATCAAGATGTCTTTCAGTAGGAGAATAGATAAAAACTGTGGTACATCCAGACAATAGCATATTATTTAATACTAAGGAAAAATGAGCTATCAAAACATGAAAATAGATGGAGGAAACTTAGATGTATGTTCTTAAGTGAATGGAGACTATCGGAAAAGGCCACATACTGTGTGATTCCAACTATATGACATTCTGGAAAAGACAAAACTACGGAAACAGTAAAAAGAATCGGTGGTTGCCAGGGGTTGGGGGGAAAGGATGAATAAGGAAGAGCACAGAGGATTTTCAGGGTAGTGAAACTACTTTGTGTGATAATGTAATGGTGGATACATGTCATTCTAGATCTGTCCAAGCCCAAGATATGTACAACACCAAGAGAGAACCCTAAGGTAAACTATGGACTCTGAGTGATAAAGATGTGTCAGTGAAGGTTTGTTGATTATAACAAACATAACGCTCTGGTTTGGGATATAGGAAACTGCTGCCACATACACACAACTGTGTGTATGTGGGAGCAGGGGAAATATGGGATATCTCTCTACCTTCCACTCAGTTTTGCTATGAACCTAAAAGTGATGCAAAAAAGAAAGTGTATTTTAAAATTAAATTTCAAAAAGCTAGCATTTAATGTGTGCCAGGCACTATGTACATATATATATATATATATATATATATATATATATATATATATATATATATATATATATATTTTTTTTTTTTTTTTTTTTTTTTCTTTTTGAGACAGAGCCTCACTTTGTTGCCCAGGCTGGACTGCAATGGCGCAATCTCGGCTGTCTGCAACTTCTGCTTCCTGGGTTCAAGCGATTCTCCTGCCTCAGCCTCTGGAGTAGCTGGGATTACAGGCACCTGCCACCACGCACGGCTAATTTTTTTTTTTTTTTTTTTTTGACGGAGTCTGTCTCTGTCGCCCAGGCCTCTCTCTGTCGCCCAGGCTGGAGTGCAGTGGCGCGATCTCGGCTCACTGCAAGCTCCACCTCCTGGGTTCACGCCATTCTGCTGCCTTAGCCTCCTGAATAGCTGGGACTAAAGGCGGCCGCCACCACGCCCGGCTAATTTTTTGTATTTTTAGTAGAGACAGGGTTTCACCGTATTAGCCAGGATGGTCTCGATCTCCTGACCTCAGGTGATCCGCCCACCTCCCAAAGTGCTGGAATTACATGTGTGAGCCACCGCGCCCGGCCTGTGTACACATAATTTAATTTTCACAACAATGCTATAAGATGGTTCTATTACTGGGTTGGAGTATACTTCTTCAAATGAAATTCTGTGTCAAAACTGACCTGTGAAAGACCTCAGGTGTCTTAGAATTGACCGTGGTTAGGCTGGGCGCGGTGACTCATGCCTGTAATACCAGCACTTTGGGAGGGTGAGGCAGGCGGATCACGAGGTCAGGAGTTAGAAACCAGCCTGGCCAATGTGGTGAAACCCTGTCTCTAGAAAAAATACAAAAATTAGCCGGGTGTGGTGGCACATGCCTGTACTCCCAGCTACTCAGGAGGCTGAGGCAGAAGAATCGCTTGAACCCAGGAGGTGGAGGTTGCAGTGAGCCGAGATCGTGCCACTGCACCCCAGCCTAGGCGACAGAGCAAGATTCCATCTCAACGACAAAAAAAAGAAAAAAAAGAATTAACCATGGTTTATCCCTCTGGAGGACAGAAGTATGAGGCAGAAGTCATTGAAAGAATTTTCATGCCTCTCAACAAAAGCAGATTTGGACTTTCGAGAGTTGACTCTGGCTGCAATATAGGAGATGAACAGAAGAAGAGGAGAATGGCATTTGAGAAGCAATCCAGATGAGAGATGGGGTGGCCTGAACCTGGGCAATGCCTGGGAGGAGTGGAGGATTTAGGAAGAAGAATCCCCCTGGTCCAGGACTAAGTGCATTGCCAGGGCAGGAGGAAGGGTGTCCAGGCAACTTACTCACCTGTCTCAGTTCACTCCTTATCAGTGAAGGTTCCTAACCACAAGCCACAGATACCAACTCTGATCAGCGTAAGCAGAAAAGAAATAAACTAGGAAGAAATGGGGTGGTACAGAAAATTGCCAGAACTGACTAACCAGGTTAGGGGCAGAAACAGGTGCTTCAGGTGCCCCATGTTACAATTGCTTGGCCCCAGCTGTGGTGAATAGATCTATTCACATTGATCATGTTCTACTTCAGGGGCCTACTCCATCTCTGCTTTTCTGCCTTGGGACTTTCTTGAAATCCCAGGAGTCTGCTCAGCCCACGCATAGGTTCAGTTCAGAAGTGCAAGAATATGGCCACTCCTGGAGGCAATCCAATGGGGAAGGACTCTGGCACATAAATGCCTACTATTCTTTTTGCTTCTCAGAGGTCCCTGGAGTTGAGCCCCATTTCCTTTAGGAGCCACCTTGAGAATGCACCCTTTCTAGGCTTTTCCTCCTTCCCGCTGTCATTCTCCTTACTTCCTCGTACCTACTTCCTGGGATCACCTCCCAAATAAACCATCTCCACCTGAGGTTCTTGTTTCAAGCTCTGCTTTTGGAAAAACCTGAAGACAGAGACTCTGCAACAGGGAACCATGCTGAAAATCAAAGTACAGGACAAAGTGGTCCAGGAAGCACACCTCTGATCTAGGGGAGCACTGAACATGGTGAAGTGCATCACTGACCCCTCCCACCTGGGAGCCTGGATGCTGCCTCAGCACCACGACCACCCCTGCTGCAGGAACACGAATTTCCTGTGACTGCTGCCCTTGTCATGCAAGCCTTCCTCACCATCCTCATTTCTTGTGTCACTTGTTTTCTCTCCAGAGTGTGGGTAAGTGTACCTGACTGGCTAAGCCCAGCTCACATGACCATCCTGTAGCTGCAAGGGAGGCTGGGAAATTGAATACGTCTCCTTGGAGGTTTTGAAATCCCAAGTGATGTCTGCCTCCCATTAAGACTCATAATATGAGGAATTCTCCAAATATAGCAAACAGAGGCAGGATGGCCCCCAAATAAATAATATCCATCCCACATATCGCACAGGTTAGGGCTGGACCCACTTGGATACTTCATTCCCCTGTCCTGAGAAGCGGTAGCATCTGGTGCTGAACCAGACAGTTGAGGTGTTGCCTTGACCTTGACTTTCCTTTACCAAGTTCAGATTCACTTTTACAGTATTCAAAAGAGCTTCAGTAAAACCCAGCCCTACTAGGGAGCCTAAGGGCAGAGGCACAAAGAGTTGTGATAATTGCCCTGCCTTCCCCTTTTTCTTTTTTCAGACAACGCACTCTGCCTTCTGCTGGACTTTGAAGTGTAATTCAAAGGACTGAGCTGATTTACTCCTATCCAGACCAGCTCTCAGCCCAATTAACAAATGCTTCATCCTGAGACTGGGAACACAGGTGCTGCTGGGAGAAGTTGGGCTTTTCCACCCAGACGCAGGAGGCACATCCCTCTAAAGGAAATGGGGAAAGTCAACAGATGGGGAAACACCAAGTGGTCACCTAAACTGAGAAGAGAAGTTGGGGGCCAGGAAAGACTTCCTGGAAAAGCTGATATTTAAGATAAGTCTGGAAGGAAGAGTAGGAATTAACTCCACCTAATAGGAAAAAGATGATCTAGTCAAATTACCTGCATGTGCAGAGGCCTGGAGTTGTGTGAAGGTAAGATATATTCAAGGAATAAAGCCAGGGAGAGAGCTTAGAGACTCAGACAATAAGTGGATCATCAGTTCTTAGGGGATCTGAGACCCCCTTGAAGAATCTGATTAATTCTACCCCAAAATTGAGCCCATATACCTGCATATACAGAAACTGGCACACTGCCAAGGGATGCAGGGATCCAAGATTAAGAATCCATTATGTCCCCAACCCTTCATCTGCAGATGCACAACAGCCCCAGAGAGGGCTAAAGTGGAAGTCACAGCAAAGCATTGTTTCTGCAACAAGATTTGGTTTGGTCTCTCTTTCAGGCTGGAAACTTACCTCAAGGGACTGATGATCTTTATCTCAAAGGGAGGCGAGTAAAAGCTGATGGAAAGCTTAGTAAGCACGGAGAGGGTTTCACAACTGATGTATTTCCTTATAGGCAATTGAGTGTCCAGCCAGATTTTTCACTGAAAAGTTCCAAAGGTCACGATTGCAGGTCCATTCTCTGGGGCAGTTCAATTTCTTCATAGAAAGAAGCTCCAGTCCATTGCCTGTTAGGGGATGGGGGACATTGCCCAATGAGCCTAGATGTAATGTTCTAATGCTGGGCTAGGAACAGGTTGGAGGTGTCATCATTCGGGAGGCAGCTTTTTAGTTAACCCCTATGTTGTTCAGCCCCCTCCCACCTCTCCCCTATATCGCAGCCAGAGTCAATGCTCTCTTTGTGGCTGCTAAATCTGGAACCTGATTCAAATTTCCCAGAGATCAAATCCCCGGTGGCCTCTGGGGACAGACGTGCATGGCTGCATAAGGTCAAAATGCCCCCACAAAGACTTTCAGTCAATCCTCGTGTTTTCAGCATCCTGCTTTCCCTCCACCTCCTCAATGTCTGGTTCTGCCAATTCCTGAGGCTTTCTGGCATTCTGGGGTGAATTGGATGTTCCTCAATAGATGCCCCTTCGAAGGCGGCAGGGTTAACCTTCTTCCACTCTGCCAAATTGTTTACCATTCCCCAACACAGTTTCTGTCTTCCTTTACAGTGTTGCAGGGCTAGAGATGTTCTACGGGCTTCATCAAAGATGGAAAGGGTGTTTCTGTTGCATGTTCTCCTAATTGTCTGAAGTGGATTTAATGAGAAGAGAAGTGGATAGAAACAAAACTTGGCCCTCCTTGAATATACTTAACACTGTTGATCTTTACACTTTGTAAAGTTGTTCAGATGGTAAATTTAAGCTATGTGTGTGTGTTTTTTTAATCATGATTAAATACAAGACAAATAAGCAAAACTCAGCCATCTTACTAGAAGTGTCCCCACTGAGTTTTCCACAAATTTTGAAAAACAAACACAACAAGACATTTCCTTTAAAATTTATTTACATGTACAACATGAACATCTTAATTCCTCCTAAACAATTTATTGAGGCTATTACAAGGACTGTCTAGAGTGGTGCCACTTAAAGTATGGTTTCTGGACCAGCAGCAGCCACAGCACTTTGAAACTTGTTAGAAAAGCAAATTCTTGGGCCCTACCCCAAACCTACTAAACCAGAAACTCTGAGAGCAAGGTGCAGCGATCTGTGTTTTAAGAAGCTCTCCATGACAAAAGATGACCAGCTTTGTGATGGTTGATGCCCAGTTAACGTTTGACAACCACTCATCTAGAACAATATGTGGGAAAAACAAATGAAGGAGGTTGAAGGTCAAAGGAAGGGCCCAACTTCATAACCTGGAGAAAAGCTAAAGGAAATCATGAAAGGAGAAGAAAAGGTAACTGCCATTCATTGAGTGCCTACAATGTGCAAGGTACCATGCTTCCCAGTTTACATATGTATCTCATTTAATCTTCACAGTTTTCTTCAAAAGAAAGACATATTTCCCCCATTTTACAGATAAGAAAACTAAGGTTTAAAAAAGGTAAGCAAGTTAGCCATGTAAAAAGGATTTCAACCACGGGTCTGTCTGACTCCTTAGGCTCTTCTGTTTATTTTCCATATGTCACTTTTTTATTTTTATTTGAGACAGAGTCTCGCTCTGTCACCAGGCTGGAGTGCTGTGGCACAATCTCAGCTCACTGCAACCTCCGCCTCCCAGGTTCAAGTGATATTCCTGCCTCAGCCTCCTGAGTATCTGGGACTACAGGAGTGTGCCACCACGCCCAGCTAATTTTTGTATTTTTAGTAGAGACAGGGTTTCACCATGTTGACCAGGATGGTCTCAATCTCCTGACCTCATGATTCACCTGCCTCGGCCTCCCAAAGTGCTGGGATTACAGGCATGAGCCACCATGCCCGGCCCCATCACTTTTTAAAAATTAACATCTTCACTGAGAATATCACTGACTATGGAAGAACAGAAAAAAAGAATGTCTTCATTGCTTGGCAAAATCCTGTTCTTCCTCCTAAGCAGAACCCAAATGCCACCTCCTCTAAGTCTTCCAGGACTGCCCTGCTCAAAGTTAACTGTCTCATAGTACCTTGCACATACCAGTCCTGCAGTACTTCACAGACCTTATTGTACAAGTTCTCAAACCTTGGGTCCCAGGGCCTCTTAAAAATAATTAACATTCACAGGCAAATATAAACTTTGACTTAAACCTCACACAAGAAAATTAATTCAAAATGGATCAAAGGTTAAATATAAAACACAACACTATAAAACTTTAAATTTTTCATTTTTATTTTTAAGAGACAGGTTCTCACTCTGTCTCCCAAACTGGAGTGCAGTGGTGTGATTATAGTTCACTGCAGCCTCAACCTCCTGGCTCAAGAGATCTACCCACCTCAGCCTCCCAAGTAGCTAGGACTACACTCATGAGCTACCATGCCCCACTAATTTTTTTTTTATTATTTTTTGTAGAGATGAGGTTTTGCTATGTTGCCCAGGCTGGCCTCAAACTCTTGGCCTCAAGTGATCCTCCCATGTCAGCCTCCCAAACTGTTGGGATTATAGGCATGAGCCACCATACTTGGCCTATAAAACTTTTAGGAAAAAGAATTAAAAAAAAAACATAGGATATCTTTGGAATGTAGAGCTGGGTGAAAAATTCTTAAACTTGATACCAAAACATGATGCATAAAATAAAAATGGATAAGATGGATCCTTCAAAATGAAAACCTTTTGCTCAAAGACCCTGTGAAGAAGACAAAAATACTGAAAGTATTTGCAAACCGCATATCTGAAAAGGCACTGCTATCTAGGTATATAAGAAACTCTCAAAATTCAAGAATGAAAACAAACAATCTAATTAGAAAACGGGCAAAAGACATGAACAGACATTGCACTGAAAAGGATCAACAGCTAGTAAATAAGCACGTGAAAATATGTTCAACATCATTAACCATTAAGGAAATGTAAATTAAAACCATAATGAGATATCACTACATAACTATCAGAATGGCTAAAATAATAATAGCGGCCAGGCGCAATGACTCACGCCTGTAATCTCAGCACTTTGGGAGGCCAAGGCAGGCGGATCACCTAAGGTCAGGAGTTCGAAACCAGCCTGGCCAACATGGTAAAACCCTGTCTCTACTAAAAATACAAAAATTAGCCGGGCACGGTGGTGGGCACCTGTAATCCTAGCTACTCAGGAGGCTGAGGCAGGAGAATTGCTTGAACCTGGGAGGTGGAGGTTGCAGTGAGCCGAGATTGTGCCACTGCACTCAAGCCTGGGCAACCGAGCAAGACTCTGTCTCAAAAACAAAAACACCAAATGCTGGTGAGAATGGTGAGAATGGATCACTCATAAATTGCTGGTAGGAATGTAAAATGGTACAGCCATGCAGGAAAAAGACATGGCAGTTTCTTCCAAAATTAAACATGTGCTTACCACACATGCAATTGTATTTGGGCATTTATCCCAGAGAAATGAAAACTCATATCCACATATGAATGTTCATACCAACTTTATTCATAATACCGAGAAATCAAAAATATCAAATATTCTTCCACAGGTGAATGATTAAACAGATGGTGTTACATGGCTACCATGGAATGCTATGCAGCCACGGAAAGGAATGAACTATTGATACATGCAACAACATGGATGGTCTGAAGGGAACTATGCTGAGTGAAAAAAAAGACAATCTCAAAAAAAGTTACATATTGTGTTATTCTACTTACATGGCATTCTTGGAATGACAAAATGAGAGAGAGAGAGCACACAGGGATTAAGGATGAGGGAAGGAAGAAGGTGGCTGTGGCTACAAAAGGGTAGCATGAGGGATCCTCGTGATGAAACTGTTCTGTATCTTGACTGTGGTGGTGGTGCCACAAATCTACACGTAATAAAGTTGCATAGAATTAAATACACACACGCACACACACGTGAGTGCATGCCACACATGACATCTGGATAAGGCGGGTGGATTGCATCAGTGCCAGTTTTCTGGCTGTAATATTGCACTAAAGTTATGCAAGATTTTACATAATAACAGCAACCACTGGTAAGAATGCAGAGAATTATGAGAATGGAGAGAACAGATCACTCATAAATTGCTGGTAGGCATGTAAAATGGTACAGCCACTGTATTTGGGTGAAGGGTATAAAGGATCTCTGTATTATTTCTTACAACTGCACATGAGTCTACAATAATCTTAAAATTAAAAGTTTTTTAAAGTATTGAGTACTCCAAAGAGATTTGTATATCGATATGTACTGTACCAGAAATTAACAGACATTTTAAAAGTATTTATTAGTCTATTTTTAAGGCAATAATAAATCCATTACATGCTAATATAAACAAAACATTTTTTGTGAAATATGAGTATATTTTTCAAAAAACATAGTGTGAAGAGTGACATTGCCTTATATTTCTGTAAACCTCTTTAATGTCTGGCTTCATGGACAACTGGATTCTCATGTCTGCTTCTCTATTATGATGTGTTGATAATCACACATCATGTAGCCTCTGCAGGGTTTTCTGGAGGTACGCAGTTGGCCCTTGACCAACACAGATTTGAACTGGGCAGGTCCACTTAGACACGGATTTGTTTCAACCAAACGCAGACTGAAAGTACAGTATTCTCAGGATGTGAAAACAGCATGTATAGAGGGCTTTGGTTTACAGGAGTTCCACAGGGCTGACTGCGGGACTTGTGTATGTCCTGATTTGGGTATTTTCAGGGGTTCTGGAACCAATCCCCTGTGTATACAGAGGGATGACTGTATGAATCTGGGCTCGATTCTGGGGTAAAACCCTCTGTATACTTGTGAAAGAAGGAGAGTGAAAAAGGCAAATAATGCCTCGGTGTTATTATGAGAATAGTTTTAACCTCATGGATGCTTTAAAGGGTCTCAGGGTCCCCCAGGTAACCCCGATCGCATTTGGTGATGATTTGTCCATGCGTGCTCTGGCCCTTACAAGTGAGTTGGGGCAAGGAGAGCATCTTTTCAACTTTGTATTCCAAGTGCCTTGTACAGTGCCTGGCACTCAGAGAGGGAGAGAGAGGGCGAGGGAGTGAGAGAGAGAGCATGCGCCAATCTGGTTGACAGCATATTGCTTTAGACTTCTAGTTCTGAGTCAGAGTAAAAGTCAGAGCGTTCTGATATAGCTTGGTCTCATGGAACAAACACTATTCTAAGAAACCAGTTTCATGCTCCTGGGGCATGAAACATGGGGCTGCAGTGATGGAGTGGCCTTTAAAAAGGGTCACAGTTTCTCACAAGTCTTGACCTTGAGGCCATTCAGACCAAGCACGGAGAGAAAGGGGCTTAGCGGGTTATGCAGACGTATAATAAATGATTTCCTCCTAATTTACTACCTTCCTCGTAACTCCCGACTCCTGTCCGTCCCCAAAGCACCCATTAGGGGCCAGTCTCAGTCCACTTGGTCCACAGCTGCTCTGGGAAGTGGAAAAGAATTTCAGGCCACAATTTCAGATTATGAATTGATTCTCAGTTCTCATCCAAAGTACTCATCAAAGCACAATTTAGCCAGGAGCATAGAAAAACGCAGATGCTGACTTGAAATTGCCCCTGAAAAATGTCTGTTGGTATCTACTGTGTGGCAGACACTGAGTCAGAACTGTGGGAATATTCCAAGATGACCCAGCTTGGCCCCTGCCTCGAAGAGCTCCCGATCTCATGGTGAAATGATTTGACTACAGCTGGCCAGCAACAAGGACTCTAAAGTGGAATGAGCAACCAGTGAAGAGAAATCAACTCTTCTAGGATCGGGGAAAGGAAGTTTGCATTTGATTTTGTTTTTGAAAGGAAGAGAGGGATGTGGCCAGTAGAGGGAGGACAGTGTACGGGAAGGTATTGTATTAGGGAAGATAGTTAATTGCTTTGACATAGATCTAAAGTCACAGTGGTCAAATAAAATAGGTTTCTGTCTTTTATAACAGTCCAGGCTTATGTATTCTATGGCTCCCACAGTGACCCCACAGCATGAAGAACCCAGACTCCTTCCTTCCTGATGCTCCACCACACCTGAGCCCCAGTCCTCATCTGTTTGCATGGTCCAAAGCCATCATATCTGTGTTCCAGCCAGTGCAAATAGGGAAAGGGGATAGCAGGCATACTCTTCCCTCCTAAGAGCACATTTCAGCAGTTGCACGTTTTACTCCTGCTCTTGCCCCATTGGCCAGAACACAGTTAAAAGGGAGATTGGGAAATACAGTTTTTAAATGACGGCCTCTGTTGCTGTAGAAAAAATTGGGAGACAACTAGAGGTTTCTGCTCCAAGCACAGGGATGAGGAAGTGGAGGGGGGTTTTAGAAGGAGCCAGTAGCTAAGTATGTTTAAAAATTGTTGGAGGAAGGAAATACAGTAAGAAAGGTAGGTTGGGGCCACAGTTGCCCCAGACTGTGGGGCTACAGACTTTATTCTGTAAATCAGTGGTTCCAAACTTAAGTATGTATCAGTATCACCTGGAGGACTTGTTAAAACCCACATTACTAGGCCTCACCCCCAGAGTGTCTGGTTTCATAGGTCTTAGGAGGGGCCTGAAAATACGCATTTCTTTCTTTTTTCTTTTTTTTTTTTTTTTGACAGTCTTGCTCTGTCGCCAGGCTGGAGTGCAGTGGCATAATCTCGGCTCACTGCAACCTCCGCCTCCTGGGTTCAAGCAATTCTCGTGCCTCAGCCTCCTGAGTAGCTGGGACCATAGGTGCGCACCACCACACCCAGCTATTTTTTTGTATTTTTAGTAGAGACAGGGTTTCACCATGTTGGCCGGGATGGTCTCGATCTCCTGACCTCAAGACCAGCCCACCTCAGCCTCCCAAAGTGCCGGGATTACAGGCGTGAGCTACAGCGCCCAGCCAAAAATACACATTTCTAACCAGTTCCCAGGTGCTGCTGGTCCAGGAACTTTGAGAAATGTGGAGCCACAGAAAGTTCTGAAGAGAGAAATGGCATCTGTATTTCAGGAAGTTGTCTGTTATAGTAGAGAACAAGCCGTACTGAAGCTTCTCAGAGCACCAGAGCTTCACACCTTCTTGATCCTTCATGTTCCTGAGAAATTGCACTCAAGAAAAACAGGGATGATAAAGAGCCTGCAAAGCAAGTTCATAGAATTTCCAACTGCCCAGGGCTCAAGGATTACTCCCCACTTCCTGGCAGGGCTAATGGCATCAGCCTCAACTATCATTTCTTTGCTTTGTGTGCAGAAGCCTGGATATGGGTGGTGTGGGGCAACTCCCTTTCCTCCCTGCACCCGGGTTTCTCCATCAATAATAATAATGAGAATCATTTACCTGTCTTAGGTGCCAAAAATGATCAGATGACACAGATCAAAAAGTTAGACAATGTCCCAAGACTGTGGAGACTCCAGCACTTGCCTACACTGTGGAGAGTGAATTGGCATGGCCTCTAGAAAGCAATTTGATAATCAAACCAGAATTAAGATGCTCATAACCTTTGACCTAATAGTTCTATTTCTAGGAATGGAGCCTATAGATACACTCATGTTTATTTGCAAAAGACAAAGTTGTTCAGTGCCCATAATTTTTACTGGAAAGAGATAGGAAACAACCTAAATGGCATCCATAGAGGGCTGGTTAAACAAACCCTGGTGCATCCAAAAATGGAACAATAGACCAGGCTTTAAAAATATTAAGTTAGAGCTACATGAGCCCATTTAGAATATATACATCTTAGAGCACATCTCTGGAAGGATTTAGAGAGATAGTTTGCCTTCGAGGATAGGAATTGGAATGGAGGTCCGGGATGAGAAGGAAACTTCCTTCTCACTCTAACCTTCTGTTTACTTGTTTGATTTTTTCTACTCCAAGTATGCAGTACTTGCTTAAATACATAAACACACAGGTAGTGCCAGGTGCCTTCCATGCTTTATCTCACTAAATCTTCAGAATAACCTAGAAGGGAAGCACTCTTATTATTCCCAAGGCACAAGGAGGTTAAATCATTTTGGGGAGGGGCTGCAGGAGAGAGGGGAGAGAAGGAGACTTGATTTGTAGGGCTGCCCATTTCCATAGTGTGAATACTCTCACTGTGACTGATTTCAAGCTCCCAGCATGATGTCACTGAACAGAGTTGGAAAGAGAAGCTCACAGTCAGCTCTCAGAAGCACAGAAGAGCCAACTCCAGCACACACACCACTGTAGGGAACCTTGCACCTGTAAAGAAGGCACCATTGTCTCTTTCCACTTCATTCCTGAAAGAGTTGGTTTCCAAGAACAAAAGAAACGCAAGCAAATACATCACTTCAGGACCTAAAAGCAACTTTCCCGATCCTTATAAGTACTGGGGACTTCAGCTATAGTGTAAACAACACGCATTGTGTTGCAATGGATTTGAAACAGAAACCCAGAAATTAAAATTAAGCATCTGGGTTTTATATTTGCAAATTGCTTTGTCATTTTCTTTATGAAATACTGCACACAGCTATACCACCATAAGGCAATAAAAGAATAATAAATGAATCAGCGCTAGCATTCTGTCAGCACAGCTTCACACACTTATGGAGGGCCAGCAATCTAAATTAGGAAGGTGGTTTAGAAACTTTGTCAGTGCTTTAATGGAAGAGGTGAGTCAAGAGAATCAGACAGGCTTAGATTTGCATCCCAGTTCTACCACTTGCTGGGTACCTCGGACAAAGCACCTCACCTTCTGAGTCTCACCTTATTCATGTGTTAAGTGGGGATAATGCCCACCATACAGACTTCTACAGGCTGGTTGGAATGTTTAAGAAACAAAGTCTGGCCGGGAGTGGTGGCTCATACCTGTAATCCCAGCACTTTGGGAGGCTGAGGTGGGTAAATCGCTTGAGCTCAGGAGTTCAAGACCAGCCTGGGCGACATGGCAAAACCCAGTCTCTACAAAAATTAGCTGGGCGTGGTGGTAAGCACCTGTAGTCCCAGCTACTTGGGAGGCTGAGGCAAGAGGATCACCTGAGCCCAGGGAGGTCAAGGCTGCAGTGAGCTGTGATCACGCCACTGCACCCCAGCCTGGGCGACAGAGTGAGACCCTGTTTCAAAAAAAAAAAGAAAGAAAGAAAGAAATGAAATGAAGTTAACATACAGTATACACCTGGACATAACTCAAGGTGTTTTTTCCCCAAAAAAACTCTTAGAAGAGAGAGTTGCCTTATATTTAAGTTCTTATAAAAGCTCACAGAATCTTTCATATTCCCTAGACTCTCTCAATTACTTTCTTTTAAACAACAAGGTATTGTTGGAGGTAGGCCAATCTATAGAAGTCATCTGAAGGAAGTAGTTAAAAAAAAAGCAAGCAATTTTCGACATGGATGTAAGTCATTACACTGGGGACTGACCTCACACACTTTATAAAGATGTAAGCCTTAAGAAAGAGCACTTTTAAAAGCAATACATAAAATGTTTGGATGTTGTGATCACAAATATAAACCAATGGGAGAAATGGAAAAACAATCTGTCCTAAGATTTAGTGCACTGGGAATTCTAAGATAAAATATTTCAGAGAAAGCATCATATAGAGGCTCAAAAAGTACTGGATCACAATTTGGATAGGAGTGAAAATTATGTGACCTAGAAAGAAGGCTGAGCGACATAGAAATCATCCCCAGTGACTGAGATCAAAGGTGCTCAGAAAGAGATGAAAAGAATTGTTTTGTGAAATGGAAGAATGGGAGAAAATCCAATATTTCTCAATGTTGAAAGTGTGTATGTACCTAAAATAATAAATTAAATATTACACAGATATTTGATTATTTATACCACCTTAAGAATTTATATATTCAAGTTGAGACCCCAAATATTTTCTCTTCTGCAATCTTCTTAGTGTGACAAGTGAGAGGGACACCTTACATTTTGGGCCACCCTATGTTGAGACATGTCTAATAGGTGAAAGCACTTTAAATCCCACAAAGCTTTGTATGATTTGTGACAAGTACTGTTATGGTGGTTAATACTATTTTTATTATGACTTTTCTACCACAGGGTGGACTCTTTGGCTATGCTCCTCTAAGCACTTCTCCAGGTGGGACTCCCCTGAACTATTTCCAAGTTGTGGGAATTTTTTTTTTTTTTTTTTTTTTTGAGACGGAGTCTTGCTCTGTCGCCCAGGCTGGCTGGAGTGCAGTGGTACGATCTCAGCTCACTGCAACCTCCACCTCCTGGGTTCAAGCCATTCTCCTGCCTCAGCCTCCCAGGTAGCTGGGATTACAGGCATGCACCACAATGGCTGGCTAATTTTTGTATTTTTAGTAGAGATGGGGTTTCACCATGTTGGCCAGGCTGGTCTCGAACTCCTGACCTCAGGTCATCCACCTGCCTCAGCCTCCCAAAGCGCTGGGATTACAGGCATGAGCCACCGTGCCCGGCTAATTTCCTAGCTGTATGATCTTAAGCAAGCTGCATAACTTGTCTGTGTCTCTGTTTCCTCATCTGTCAAGTAGAGATAATAACAGGATTGAGAATTCAATAAATTATTATATTGAGAAGTGTTTATAACAGTGTCTGGTAAATGCTTCTTAAATGTTAGTTATTATTTTCAGCAAGGGAGAACTTAACTGTTTGTAAACACATCAGTTTTCTTCACCATATGATGAGATTTTACCACCAGGGACCCTGTCTTATTCATCCCAGGATCCCCAACTCAAACACGGGGGCTAACATATAGTAAATGTTTGCTGAACCTACAATAATTTCTATAAAGAAAGAAAGGTAGTATATAAAGTCCAGAGCCCAACACAGACCCTGGTTCCCATTAGTTGAAAGAGGCACACCGTGAGTGTTGATAACTGGCTCAGCCTCATTTCTCACTGACCAACCAAACTCTAAAACAGCATCACAGTGCGATAGAGCTGGAAAAGACTCAAGACTGGATGTTTCTTCGTGTCTTCTCTAAACAATGAGTTCCTCTACAATAGGAACTGAGTTCAATTCATCTCAGTCCCCAGTCTGGCAAACAGTAGGGGCTTAATAAGTACTCATTGACCAAATGAGTGATGAAGTACATTCTACACTATTGTACGTTACTTGTTTTTTAAACTGAATTTTATTTTTTTAAATACCTACAAAAAAGAACTCAAATTAATACCCAAATATGCACATAAAAACTTCAAATCATACAAAATTATCCTGAAAGTGAAAGAATCACCTAGGGAGAATTCTTGGCATCTAGAGTATTATTTATACAAATGTTTCCATTATGTATACAGAAATTAACATGTAAGTACAAACGCTGTATCATGTGCTAGTTCAAGATCAAGAGCTTTGGAATCAGATACACCAGGGTTGGAATCCAAGTTCCATCGCTTTTTAGTGGTATAGCCTTGAAAAAGTAATAACCTCTTTGTGCCTCAGTTTCTATGGAAAATAGAGCTAAAAATAAAACCTACCCTAAGGCTTATTGGATTAATTAATTAATTATTACATATGAGCACTTAGAACCATCAGAATACACAGAAGTAACTCAATGAAGGTTAGCAATTATGTATACATGTTTAAACAAAATGTGGTCATATTATAGATGCTTGTTTGCATTTGCTTTTTTATGTAACAAAATATTGTGTACATGTATTGTATGGTAGTACATACAGAGCTAACTCCTTCTTTTGATGGGCATGTATTTAAATATATGATGACCCTGTGTAACCAAGCCTCTACTTTTGGTATTGTTTCTAATATTTTATTATTATTTTATATATATATATATATATATCTCACCACAATAAAATCCTTGTTGCACATATATTTTTCCACACCATGTGAGTACTTCTATAGGATAAATTCCTAGAAACGGAATAGCTGATCAAAGTGTATTAATTTTTAATTATATTAATAAACAATGAGTTATCAATTTGCCTTTCTAAAAGACTGTATCACTTTACATTTTGATTAGTGAGTGTACTTTGTTGCCTTATGGTTGTGTACATTTTAACCAGACGCCCCAATAATTTATTTTGAATGTCCCAGTAGTTACAGAATTAAGGACTTTGCCCTGCTCATTTGGCATTATAGCCCTTTATCTTTCCAAAAATCATAAACAACTCCTAAGAACTTAGCAACCAATTTCCTGCAGCAAATATTCAGATACATAGCCTGACAAAAATTTGTATGCCATTCCCAAATGGGAGAGGAAGAAATGTCAGACATTTCTTAGCCTTTTCAGTGGCCAGTAGGAAGAACACTTGAAATTAGACCCATCTATTAAGTTTTGGAGACAGGGTGGCTGTTATCTGCACCCATCTTTGTTTTCTGTAACTGAGACCCTCATTTAATAGACAAGAAGCCTCTCTGTTGAGTATTACTGGGTGCAGTGTCTCTAATCCAGTGTTCCCCAAGTGTGATAAGGGTACTATTGTTAGCCCTCCAGATGTGTTTAGGTAATACAAGGAGGACAGGTGAACCCCTTGGCCAGAAGCTGAACAGCGCCACCAAGCTGACAGGCTGCTTCAGTGGTGGCTAAAGCTCATGCCCACTTTTAGTTTTAATTTCAATTTTAATCCAAATGATAAATAGACATAATGTTTGAGTTAGATACCATTACAAGTTAAATACTACCACAAAGCTTATAACAAAAATCCTGTTTCACCTCTGATCCCATCCCAGAAGCAGTAACTTTAATTCTGTAGTTATTTTTCCACACTTGATTATGGGATCGCTCCTTGATTTAAATTTTTTTTTATTAACTCACGGCTATGGAAGATAAGGATTTAGTTATCTCTCCTTTTCTTCCCCCTCCACCATACACACAGACACACTTTCCGTCTCCAAGTCTCCCAATATAATTATATCATAATTTTTGGTTAAGTCAAAGTGCTGTTTTACATGACAATGACAATGTAATATTATTTCCAGCTGAGTGTTGTAGTTTATGATGATTACAATGTTTTTCTTATCAATTGTTTTTGTTTTCTTGCCTTTAATAATCGCTTCATGTTTTATTTGCTTAGTTTCCTAGGTAATTCATTCAGCTCCTATTCATCCTCGAATTCTTACCAGAACTCAAATCCTCTCCAGTTCCCTCTGCTTTGTGCTCAGTCTAGGAACATGACAGTGTGATGTAGTGGTTCTCAAAGCATGGTTCCGGGATAACAGCGTCAACATCAGCATCATCTGCGACCGTGTCAGAAATGCAAATTATCAAGCTCTACCCGAGACTTACTGAATTAGTCGCACTGTGGGTGGCTCCAGCTATCTGGGTTTTAATCAGCTCTCCAGGTGATGCCAGTGGATTGGGCACTCAAGCTTGAGAGCCATAGGTCTAATGGTTGAAAACATGGATACCCAAACCTAAGGCTGCTGGGGTCCAAATACCAGGTATTCCGGTCATTGGTGATGTAGCAACTTCCAACCCTCAGTCTTCCTAGTTGTCTTTGTTTTTCTTTTGAGACAGAGTCTCACTCGTCGCCCAGGCTGGCGTGCAGGGCATGATCTTGGCTCACTGCAACATCTGCCTCCCAGGTTCCAGCAATTCTCCCACCCCAGCCTCCCAAGTAGCTGGGAGTACAGGCATGCGTCACCACGTCTGACTAATTTGTGTGTTTTCAGTAGAGACAGGGTCTCACCATGCTGGCCAGGCTGGTCTCAAACTCCTGGCTTCAGGTGACCCACCCACCTCTTCCTCCCAAACTGCTGGAATTACAGGCGTGAGCCACCACATGTGGCCAGTCTTCCCATCTATAAAATGGGGACGAAAACAGCCTCTCCCATATAGAGTTATTGCGAGTTGTGTGGTGTTAGGCATCATGACAAGCTCTAGCGTTTCCTGGAGACAGCCTTCCTGGAGCCCTCTGAAAATCCAGAGCCATTATGGGAGGGGAGCTCTCCAAGGCGACTGCACACACTCCTCCAGGCCTCCCTAGTACTCCCTGCTCAGGGGATCTCCTTCATTGAGGCAGCCACCTCAAGCTTCAGTCTTCAGCACCTCCTGCTCCCAAGATCCTCCTCCTATACCCCTGTGCCAGCCTCTCTGCCTTTAACCCTCTCCCACGCTCGGCTCCCCCTTCTACAACCACCACACCACCTCATTCCTAGCCCCTACCCCCATGCCACCTCTGTCCTTAATCCTCAGCCCCAATCCTTCCTCCTCACTCCGCATAATCCCTCTTCCAGCCCCCTGGAGCAGTCTCAGCCCCCTGTCTCCTACCTTCCATTCCCCCACACTCCTTTACTCCATCCACCCTTCCCTCCCAGGACGAAGCTCCCTGCTTTCCCATGGCACCACCCCCAGGGCTGGCTGCCCCTCGGGTGTCCTCAGCCCCCTGAAGTACAGAGATGGATCACCAGCCTCAGCCTTACTATTCTGCCTTCTCACTTGGGACGGTTCTTACCTATCCGAGCTTCAGCACTCTCGTGTGAAAGGAGGGCCAATGGGGTCCAGCCACATCACCGACCGTAAGTGCTTGGCATATAGCAAGCACTCAGTAACTCCACCATTCTTTCCATGGCCCCTGAGTCCCTGCCTCGTTATGGGGCCCCACACATCCCTCTTCCTGTGTTTCCCACCACTCTTCCCCCATTCACTCAGCTCAGGCCACACTGGCCTCCTTGCCTGCTCCCTCCCACCTAGGGCCTTTGCTCTTCCCTCTGATCTGAAATGCTCTTCCAGTAGAGATGCAATTGACCTATTCTTTAACTTAAATCAGGTCCCTGCTCAATGGTCACCTCCTTAGAAAGCTTTCCCCAAACCACCCATTCTAGAATACCATCGACCCCATCCCTTGCTATCTTTTTTTTTTTTTTTTTTTTTTGAGACGGAGTTTCGCTCTTGCTGCCCAGGCTGTAGTGCAATGGTGCAATCTCAGCTTACTGCCACCTCTGCTTTCTGGGTTCAAGTGATTCCTGTGCCTCAGCCTCCTGAGTAGCTGAGATTACAGGTGTGTGCCACCATGCCCGGCTAATTTTGTATTTTTAGTAGAGACGGGGTTTCTCCATGTTGGTCAGGCTGGTCTCGAACTCCTGACCTCAGGTGATCCGCCTGCCTCGGCCTCCCAAAGTGCTGGGATTACAGGCATGAGTCACCATGCCCAGCCTCCATCCCTTGCTATCTTTTGTTTACTTTCTGGTCCCTAATGGGTCTACTGTGATGTGGGACTGCATAACTGCACTGTCATATTGTCTGTGTCAGCCCCTCAAGGCAGACACTGAGTTTTCTCCTGCTCATCCCCATACATCAGCTCCCAAACTGCCTTGCACATAGAGGAGTAAGGGTTCAAAAAATGTTAAATGAATGACTTTTCTTACAGTAAAAGTGTAGCCATTGCTTTATTCAGCCAGTGTCAGCGACTCCTTGAGTGTAGAGAGCACAACCAATGATGTGACATTCCATGCAGCTCTCTGTGCTCAGCAGAGAAAGGACTTCCTTCCGCATCCCTGGCCTGCTAAAAGGGCTGAAAACCTCACTGCTTGGTCGGTTACGGTGGCTCACGCCTGAAATCTCAGCACTTTGGGAGGTCAAGGTGGATGGATCACTTGAGGTCAGGAGTTCGAGGCCAGCCTGGCCAATATGATGAAACCCCATCTCTACTAAAACACACACACACACACAAAATTAGCCAGGTGTGGTGGCAGGTGTCAGTAATCCCAGCTACTCGGGAGGCTGAGGAGGAGAATCATTTGAATCCAGGAGGTAGAGGTTGCAGGGAGCCGAGATCATGCCACTGCACCCCAGCCTGGACAACAGAGTGAGACTCCATTTAAAAAAACAAACAAAAAACCTCACTGCTGCTCTTCTCTTCTACATTTCTTCTATCACTAAATATTGAGCTCAGTCAGATGTTTGGTACTGTCTGAGGTTCCAGGGATACTGAGGCAGGCATGTTTGTCAACAAGAAAGATGTAGAAGAGGGCTCGCTGTAACGTTTACACTGCTTAGCCTGGGGAGGGGCTGAGTGCGATCAAGAGATGTGGAGTGTCTGGGGCCTCAGTTTGAAACCCAGCTGTGCCAGCTTCACATTCGGTTTCTTCATCTGTAAAATGGGGCTAATGAAAGTCACTACCTCATGGAATTGTCGTAATTCTTTGTTAATCCCTGTGCCTGGCAGACAGAAAACTTTAGTAAATGTTGGCTATTAGTCCTAACAGTAAAGTATAGGTTACTTCCATAAGTTAAGCAAGACAAAAACAAAAACTAAAAATTTGGTCAAGGCATCAAATGATTTATCAAGCAGTCCAGCCCTCTTAACAGCATATAAAAGGATTCACACTCCTTGTGGTCCTCCCAGAACTTCATATTCAATCTCTCTCAAAATTCAGGTGGGGGATACAGCTGGAGGCCATTATCCTAAGCAAATTAACTCAGGAACAGAAAACCAAAAACCAAATACCGCATGTTCTCACTTATATGTGGGAGTAAACAATGGGTGCTCATGGACATAAAGACAGGAGTAGACACTGTGTATTACTAGGGTGGGGAGGGAAGGGCAAGGGTGGAAAAGCTACTGGTTACTATGCTCATTACCTGGACGATGGGCTCAACTGTATCCCAAACCTTAGCATCACACAATATATGCATGTAACAAACCTGCACAGGTACCCCAAAATCTAAAAAAACAAGCTGGAATTATAAAAAGTAAATAGGCCGGGTGCAGTGGCTCATGCCTGTAATCCCAGCACTCTGGGAGGCCAAGGTGGGAGGATGGCTGAGCCAGGAGTTCGAGACCAGCCTGGGCAACATGGTAAAATCCTAGTGGCATGTGCCCACAGTCCCGGCTACTCAGGAGGCTGAGGTGGGAGGATCACTTGAGCCCAGGAGGTCAAGGCTGCAGTGTGCCATGATCATGCCACTGCACTCCAAGCTTGGGCAACAGAGCAAGACCCTCTCTCAAATAGATGGATAAATAGGTAAGATGCCTAAAAACAAAATAAAAACATGTATATGTGTATTAGAAAACAAAACAAAACAAAATCAGATAGGAAAACTAGCCAGGAGGAAAGACACTGCTGGCTGTGCTAAACCTACGAAGCCAGTGATACAGGAATGGGGCCAGGGCCACACAATGCAGCCTTCTGTCCTTAGAAACTTCTAAGTAAAGACACAAGTGTTCGCAGCTACAGGGTTTTGGCTTTTTTTTTTTTTTTTTTATGTTTTAATTCAACTTTGTCGTGGTACAATTTACACACAATAAAATTCCATCACCCAGAAAATTCCCCTGTGGCCCTCAGCAATCAATTCCCACCTGAAAAACAACCACTGATACGATTTCTGCCACTCTAGACTATTGTTGGTTGACTTTATATTAATGGAATTATAGTATGTGTTCTTTTCCAATTTTTTTATAGCTTTATTAAGTTGTAAAACTGATTTACATAAATACACCTAATATAAAGGGTACAATTTGAAGTGTTTTAATATATTCCTATCTTGAAACTATTACTACAGTCTAGATAACCCATCACCCCAAAAAGTTTTATGTCCTTTTGTTTTCTATCCACCCTTCCTACCCCAACTACTGATCTGCTTTCTGTCACTACAAATTAGTTTGTATTGTTAAGAATTGTATATAGAATCATCTAGCAGGTACTCTCTTGTGCCTGGCCTCTTTCACTCAGCATAATTATTTTGATTCATACATGCTGTTGTATCAATACTTTATTCCTCCCCCCATCAACACACCCTCAGCAACATTTCATTGTATGGGAATACCACAATTTGTTTATCCATTCATTTATTGCTGAACACTGCAGCATTTTCCAGTTTGGAATTCTTATGGGAAAAGCCACTGTGAATTCCTATACAAGTTGCTTTATTAACAGAAGTTTTCATTTACCTGAGACCCATGGAATTGCTGGGCCACAGGGTAGACATATATTTAACTTTATAAGAAACTGCCAAACTGGTTTTTTTTTTTTTTCCCAAAGTGGTTGTACCATTTTAAAATCTTACCACATGGCTGGTTTCACAAGCTTGTATCCATCTCATGGCTTTTGTACTTGTTCTTCTTTCTTCTTGGAATGACTTCCCATTCGGTTTCAGAGCTGGGTTCTTGACATTCAGGTTTCAATTCAAATGTCAAATGCCAAAGAGGCTATTATGGACTGAATTGTGTCCCTCCTCACTCCAAATTCATGTTGAAGTTATAATTCCCAGTACCTTAGAATGTGCCTATATTTGAAGATAAGGTCTTTAAAGAGGTAATTAAGATAAAATAAGGCTGTCGGAATGAAGGACAAAAACCATACTATCATTTCAATTGATGCTGAAAAAGCATTTGATAAAATTCAACATGGTTTCATGATAAAAACCCTAAAAAAAACTGGGAATAGAAGGAAAATACCCCCACATAATAAAAGCCATATATGACAAACCCACAGCTAGTACCATACTGAATGGGGAAAAACTGAAAGCCTTTAAGATCTGGAATACAACAAGGATGCCCACTTTCACCACTGTTATTCAACACAGTACTAGAAGTACTAGAAGTACTAGCTAGAGCAATCAGGCAAGAGAAAGAAATAAAGGGCATCCAAATAGGAAAGGAAAAAGTTAAATTATCCTTGTTTGCATATTATATCTTATATTTGGAAAAACCTAAAGACTCCACCAAAAAACTGTTAGAACTGATAAACAAATTCCGTACAGTTGCAGGATACAAAATCAACATACAAAAATCAGTAGCATTTCTATATGTTAACAGTGAACAATCTGAAAAAGAAATTTAAAAAGTAATCCCATTTACAATAGCCATAAATAAAAATACCTAGGAATTAATTTAAAGAAATGAAAGATCTCTATAATGAAAACTATAAAACACTGATTAAAGAAATTGAAGAGGACACACAAAAAATGGAAAGATATTTCATGTTCATGGATAGGAAGAATCAACATTGGTTAAAATGTCCATACTACCCAAAGCAATCTAAAGAGTCAATGCAATCCCTATCAAAATACCAATGACATTCTTCACAGAAATAGAAAAAAGGTTATGGTTAAAAAGACCTTCTGATCACCATTTTGCAACTGTAATAATTGTTTCAAGCAAGAATCACCATGAATTCTGAAACCAGTGGGTAAGAGTCTAAAGAAGAGGATATTTAAATAGTCTCAAAATATCTTCCCACAGAATACTTAATAGTTACAGAAGGAAAAATCGTAACTTTATGGTAGAGTGTAACTACTCCTACACCACCTCAACCAAATGATGGAAGTTAACACCACGAATACTGGGACAAACACAATGCCATGTGCCTCCTGATGAAAGGCCCTGAGGAGGCAACTTTTTTCAGCAGTAGTCCTGCCAAAAAATGCATACCCTCTCAGAATAGCAAGGGATGGGTTGGTGGGGGGTGGGGGAGGAGAGAAAAATGGATACTCTGAAACTAATAAGAAAACACAGATGAATAAAAATTTAGGGACATTCTACAATATAACTCGCCAGTATTCTTCAAAAATGTCAAGGTCATGAAAGACAAAGAAAGGCTGGATAACTAACTGCCCTTCCAGATTAAAAGAAACTAAAGAGGCATGACAACTCAGTGCAACGTCTGATCCTGAATTGGATCCTGGGGAATAGCTATAAAGGACATTATTGGGACCATTAGCAAAATTTAAATATGGATGGAGTGTATTAAATAAAACAATTGTATCATTGTTAAAATTCCTGATTTTTGACCACTGTACTGAGATTATGCCAGATAATGTCTTTTTTTTAAGGAAACACACACATATATTTAGGATAAAGGAGTTTGATGTTGGAAACTCTAAAATGATGTAGTAAAAAAGAATATATACATTATATATGTGTGTGTGTGAATATCTATATACCGTATACTGATTTCCTTTCTTTTGGGGTATATACCATATAGATATCCACACACAATATGTATTTGTGTGTATATATACACATACACGAGAGGATATGGATATGCAGCAAAATATAACAATTTGTTATTCTAGTGGAAAAGTATATGATCTTTACGATTCTTGAAATTTATGTGTAAATTTGAAATTTAATCACAAAAAAGTTAAGAGGTTTTCAGCGACCAAATACATTATAAGAAATGGCCTGTATCCAGTGAGCACTCTTTAGCTCATTCTTTTTCTCCATCACACTTACCACTGGCAAAAATTATCCTGTGCATTTATTTAATAATACTTAACATTGTGTGCAAGGCTGTCCTAAGTGCTTTACCTGTATAACCTCTGTGGATCTTCTTACAGGTAAGGAACAAATACACAAGAAGGTTGACTAACTTGCCCAAGGCCACCCATGTGGTTTGTCTCCTGCAGTGGCACAGAACCTCAACCAAGGCAGAAACTGCCTTGTCTATTGCTCTTTCCCCAGCGACTTGGAATGGTGCCTAGCACATTACGGGTGTTCAATAAACATCTGTAGATTCAGTTAACAAACACTGGGCACCCACTAGGCCTACACTGGAATACAAAATACAGAACAAAATATTCAAAAATCTGTGCCTAAATGGGAGCTTTGGGTACTAACAGCCCCACACCCAATTAGCCTCCATCTAGGTATTTCATTTGGGTCTATCATTCCTGGGAATTAAAGCCCATTCTATCCATTTTGCAGAGGATCATTAGATAAACGGATGCTCAGGGTGGGTCAATGATTTGCACAAGATCACTGGGCTGGTAGAAGGGAAGGTCGGGATTCCAACCCAGTCCCTGAGGTTCCCAGGACAGAGCTATGAATCAAACGACCAAGACAATCACCCAGTCAGTATTTATTAGGCGCCTACTGCGGACGGTTGGTCTTCACGCAGATCAGGCGAGAAGGGATAGTGATGCGCGGGCCGCTGCGGAGACCCGGAGCCCGCCGCGGATCACGGGAATTTCGCGCCTATTTTTTGTTGGCTGGGTGTTCTCGCCAGTGATTGGGTCCCGGCAAGGCGTGCCGGTGCGCTCGGCTGCGGCTGCTCCGTCGACCTTTGCAGGACCGGGCGGTGCAGGGCTCACTCGGCTGGCGTCCCGGGGGATGGGCCACCAGGAGTCTCCGCTGGCCCGGGCGCCGGCGGGAGGTGCAGCTTATGTAAAGAGGTTATGTAAAGGGCTCAGCTGGCGCGAACACGTGGAAAGCCACGGGAGCCTAGGAGCCCAGGCTTCCCCAGCGAGCGCCGCGGCAGCAGAAGGATCCGCTACACGCCGGGCTCGGGCCGCCACCTCCCGCGCTGCTCGGTCCCGGAGGCAGCCCGGGCCCGGAGCGGACCATCCCCAGGCAGGGGCTCCAGGGGGGAAACGGGCCGCCCGGAAGTGGAGGTGCGCGGGCCAGGTAAGGGCGCCGTTGGAGGACTGAAGGCCAGCGCCGAGGCTGGAGTTACTGCCACTGCCTCCGCGCTTGGGAAGGGAAATCGGGTCCTCGGCCAGTCGCACTCCGAGAAGCCGAACTTTTCAGCCAATCCCTTCTACCCGTCGCCCTCGGGGACTTGGGTCGGTCCGCTGGGCTCCGCTAGGGCTTAATTCAATGGACTGTTTACACCCGGGCGAACACAAGGCGGGGCGCGGGGAGGAGCGTCACAGAGGGGGCCAAGCAAAGAAAAATATTTCCGCCGGCCAAATCGCGTCTCTAAGCGGTTTTCAGAAGGCGTGAAGCTTGCTGGCTCTTCTTTTTCCTATCGCTACATGACAAGCTAACAGAGAGAGCGGAGAGTTTGTGCTTTTCTTTCCGGTTCCCCCTCTGAGCTGCTGCCCAGTGGTTCGGTCTTTCCCGCTTTCCCCTCCCCTCCCCCGTTCAATCAGCGGCGGTGGCTTCCGTCTTAAAGGGGCCGCGGCGGCCGGGGGAGGAGGAGGTGGGACGCCCCGCGGCCTACGCTCCTGGCCTCCCCGCCTTGGCCTGGCCGTTTAACCGATTCTTTCGCCCGCAGGTCACAATCCAAGGTCCGGCTCCTCCGCGTCCCAGGGCCGGACGGAGGGATGAGGCAGGGGGGGCCCGGGCAGCGCCGTTGCTGCTCCCCCCGCCGCCCGCAGCCATGGAAACGGGGAAGGACGGCGCCCGCAGAGGTACACAAAGCCCGGAGCGGAAAAGGCGAAGCCCAGTGCCGCGGGCGCCCAGCACGAAGCTGAGGCCGGCGGCGGCGGCCCGGGCCATGGATCCGGTGGCGGCCGAGGCCCCGGGCGAGGCCTTCCTGGCGCGGCGACGGCCTGAGGGCGGTGGCGGGTCCGCGCGGCCGCGTTACAGCCTGTTGGCGGAGATCGGGCGCGGCAGCTACGGCGTGGTTTATGAGGCAGTGGCCGGGCGCAGCGGGGCCCGGGTGGCGGTCAAGAAGATCCGCTGCGACGCCCCCGAGAACGTGGAGCTGGCGCTGGCTGAATTCTGGGCCCTCACCAGCCTCAAGCGGCGCCACCAGAACGTCGTGCAGTTTGAGGAGTGCGTCCTGCAGCGCAATGGGTTAGCCCAGCGCATGAGTCACGGCAACAAGAGCTCGCAGCTTTACCTGCGCCTGGTGGAGACCTCGCTGAAAGGTAGGAGCACCGCGGGCCTTTCCACCCACGCAGGGCCTGGACCCCCTGCTCTCCGGACGGCTTGGCCCACACTGTTCCTGGCCTTCCTAGGCCTCAGACCTGGTCCCTGTCACCCTGTGCCCTGACACACCCTCCTTTCCTGGGCCCAGGCATTCGGCCCTCTCTTCTCAGGTCCTAAGATCAGTCCCTGGGCCTAAAGTTGGCTGGTGTTTCCATAACAAGAGCTCGTTTAAGTGCTAACCATTAACTTAATAAGTGCTCAAGAATTGCGAGCTATGGTTATTAAACGTCTTCTATTTTTAAGATCGGTTGGGGGAGTGGAGGAGGGGTCGGGTTCAGTTAGTAGCAGAACTGCGGAGCCTCCTCACCCCCGAGGGCCTCTCTCTTTCCCTCCCAAAACAAACAAAAAGAAAAAACTTGACTGGACCCACCCACACCCTCTCCCTGTCTGGTTCCAAGTTTCCTGACACCCTCCAGCTCCAACCCCCAAACTCCTGTGGCTTCCTCGTCTGCCTTTTCCTCTGAGGCCCCCGGCCCTTCATCCCAGGCAGCCGAGCAAACTGACTGTCTTCTGGCTTGGTCCTCTGAGGGGTGCAGGCTGACAACCCTCACAGGTGGCCTGAGAGCTGTCACATAACAAAGCATCCGGCATCTTTTCCCTCCGTTTTACATTCTTAATCTTTTTCTTAACCTCAGAGGCTGGCTGGGAAGTGGTTTTACTTAAAAGGAAAATGGGGTACATTGAGGCAAGAGGTCTTGCAGTCCTGGAGGAACTAATTATCTTAGTTTCCGGGTTTTAACTGCAGTTAGGGAATGTATTCATCCTAACTACTCAGTACTCACAAGCCTTTTTCATACTACCAGTAGCTAAGTGTCTGCTTGGAGAGGAGAGAGGCGGTAGAAAGTTTGAGGAGACTTTCCGAGGCAGGAGGATCCAGGGGAAGAAAGTTTACTAATCCGAGTCCCAGCTGTGGTCTCAGTGCTGAAGTAATTTTTAGGTAATAACTTCAAAAGTAAATTCTATCCTTTTTCTATAAATAAACTAAGGCTTAGAAGTGAACAAATAACTTGATCAGGGTTAATCCGCTTGAAAGGGAAGTTAGACTGTACTCCTGGTTTCCTTACATTTCTCAGAGCTTAAGTGACGGGGATCCCAGATCTGTCTTGATTCGAGGCCTGGATCCTTTCGAAGGCGTAATGCTGTTCTCTGCACCCTGAGGATGAACTTTTTTAAGAGTGGGTAGGATTTGGGGTGAGTTTGGAGGGGGTGGTTTCCCAAAATCTTGTTACTTTTGCACAACTTAAAGATCCCCCAAGTCTTTCCCAAGAGAACGCTTTGTCCCATTGCAAGTCAGTTGTTTGACAGTGGAGTTGGAAACATGAATCAGTATCACCTAGAGTCCTTTAATTAGATGTCTAACTTTATAAAGTCCATCCGTGCCCCATCCATTCTGAGAAGCCTACCCTCTCCCCAGGGTGAGTGTTTTTGTTTTGAAAAGACTTCCAGCAGGGCACAATGGCTCACGACTGTAATCCCAGCACTTTGGGAGGCTGAGGTGGGAGGATGGCTTGAGCCCAGGAGTTTGGGAACAGCCTGGGCAACAAAGTGAGACCCTGGTCTCCACAAAAAATAGAAAAAAAAATAGCCGGACCTGATGGCACAGGCTTATAGTCCCAGCTACTTGAGAGGCAGAGGCAGGAGGATCAGTTGAGCCTGGGAGGTTGAGGCTACAGTGAGCCATTATCATGCAATGGCACTATAACCTGGGCGACTGAGCAAGACCCTGTCTCAAAAAAAAAAAAAAAAGACTCCCTAGGGGATTCGTTTATCTTACCTATATTCTAGGAGCGCATCACTTACTTTGAAGTCTTTCTATTCTCAGACTTCTCTTAGTCTTCTCCTTTACTGCCAATGAATGGTCTGGACTTCCTACTACAGGATTGCCTTGGGATGTAGGAATTTGCCTTGCCGAATGTTTATTCCTTGTGTCCTCAGTTCATTGACGCCAGTCTCGAACCTTCAACCTCAGCTTGAAGCTCTTGCTTACTCTCTCAACATATAAATACTATGTGGACTTTCCTCACCTGAAGAATTTGTCAAAATTCCAAAGTGACCCCATGGCAGCATAGCATAGTGGTTAGTACCATGGACTTTGGGGTTAGACCCTCTGGCTCATCCCAGGACTGACTGCACAAAACATGGAGCAAATTGTTTGAACCCTGTGAGGAGCATTCCTTTATTGTAAGATAGTGGGTATGTACCTATGACATTAGGTACATAGGGTCACTGTGCAAACTGTTAATGTCAGCAAGTGCTCCACATAGGGAGGAATTCACTGCCTTATATAAGTTCACACCATGTTCTGTACTCTTCTACCCTCACCCCCTTCAAGATTCACATTGTTCTTGCTCAAGTTTCCCAAACTTGTTTCATCATAGAACACACCTTGTTTTCTGTGTTGTCAGGCACACCAAGTTGACAGAAACACTGGTGTTTTCATCCTCCCTTTGTGAACTAAAACTGGGACCTAGAAAAATGAAATCTTTTGCTTTAGGCCGTACACTGGATTGGATTGGTCCCTTTCAGTTGTTTGGAGTCTTTAAAATATTTGAACCTCTACGGTGTTCAGGGCTCAGAGACAGAGCAGTGAAGAAAATATGTGTTGTTTCTGCTTATGAAAATGACATTCAAGCTGACTTGCAATGTGTGGATTTTTCAAGTAGTAAATAGGTAATCATTTTTGCTTCTTAAAATAGAGAACAGATACCAAAATTACTCCAGGTTAAACTTTGCTTATTCTGGATTCCAAAATTTAGGGGTCTTGATCTGTCCTGGGGCCTTGGGTTTACAGCATGCAAATACCACCCAGTAATGTTAAAGCTGGAAGGAATCGTAGAGATAACCTGGTTCAGCTCTCTCATTAAATAGAAAAGTCCTTTACAGTCACCCTTGGCCCTGCCTCCTAAAACTCAGAATGATTTTGAACAGGCCAAAAAGTGTGAATCTGCCTTGAAGTCTCAACTAAACCTAATGCTGAGTCCCTACTGTGGTATTTGAAGGGAAAGAAAAAAAGCAAAGCAAAACACACCACCCCTTGCCCCAATGGAACTTACATTTGAAAAGTTTGAGAACTGGAAGAAGATTTAAATGCTATTCAAGATCACTGGAGGAAATGACCAGTCAACTCATAAGCAAGGGCTTTGCACAAGAATTAAGAGGAAAGAGAATCAGGAGTTAGGGAGAAGGTGGGCTTGAAAGTAGGGTGCCTAGGACTGTGGATAGGCGAAGAGACAAAGGGAGTCCGTTTCACTATTTGGCCAGTAAAATAATCCAGTATCGAAAAGAGAAATGTCTTGAAATGCTGTTCTTGGTCTTACCCCATTTTGTTTGATAGCCTTAAATGCATTGTCTCCTTCCATTCTGTGCACAGACCAAACACGTCCTACCCAGAGGCATTAAGACAGCAGAAGCTTCGGAGGAATAGAAAGAGGTCTTAGATGTGTGACCTGGCTGCCTGTTTCACAAGGAAGGAAACTGAAGCCCAGAAAAGGGACAAAACTTTTATCCACAATGAGTTAGTGATAGCACTCAAACCAGCCTCCCAGGCTTTTTAAAACCACATTTACAATCCTGTAAATTATTTGGTTGAAGGGTTGGTGCCTATGTTTTTAACTTTGAAATACTTCTCACATAAAGGTTGGGGGGGTGAAGGCATCAACAGTTTGCTTTTATCCCCTTGTTTTCCATTGCGAGAATGCCTGTCCTGAATGTGCCTAAAACAAAGTTCAAGATTACTGCCACTTAGACAGCAGGCAAGCCTGAGTCACTGTCAGTCAGAAATTCTGTTGCTTTGTCTAAGGCACACACTGATTCTTCTGACAAATAGCAAGTGAGGACACACTCACAGACACTAATCCAGGACAAACTCTCAAGACTCATATAACAGAATAGTTAGAAGTTTGGGAGAGCCGGGAGCCTAGCTTACACTCAACTTGATAAGACACTAATTGTTCTTTACCAATTGTTTGATGTCGATGCCTTTAGGTGGCTGGGAACCGAGGCCTTGGAAAGTAATCTTGCCTGCACACCAAGTGGCTTTGAGCCAGGCTACTATAAGAGGCCATGCAGAGTTTTTCTCCACGAGGCATGCAGAGGACGCATGCCCACATGAACATAATGCAGGGTCACAAGTGGTAGCATCTTAGAAAATAGTACAGTTGTCTGGGAGTTTAGTTAGGGGCATTGGGGAAGCAGGGGAAGGAAGAAGCTGAGGGAGGAACTATAATAGTATAGGATAGACCAGGGTCTTAGCAATAGATGGGTTGTCAGCCTGCAAACTTCCCCAACTTGTCGAGTGCCTAGGGAACCTTCAGAGCAGAGCAAGGCCGTTCCCTCCCCAGCCCTTAGAAAAGCAACTCTGAATCCTCTTCTGTGGCTTGGGTCTCAGAGTTTAGAGAGCCGCCAGGTCAAGAGGCAGAGAGCTGGCTGGCATTGGGGAAATATAAGTTAACACAATACAATAAAATGCTAGACTCAGAGTCAGAAGGTTTTAATCCCAGTTTCACCCTGTAAATAAGAGCTGAAACTTGCAGGTTGCTATGTATCAGGTGAAGTCAGTACCGTGATTATCTTCATTTTATAGGTGAGGCAACTGAGGTACCAAGGTTAGTGAAATTGCCCAATGTAAAACAGCTAAGCAAGTAACCAAGTCAGGATTCAAGGCCAGACATTCAAACTTGAGTATGCTTTCTTAACTGCTGTGGGGTACTGCTGGGACAGGTAGCTTAAGTTCTAGGTTCTTCTGTTTTTCTTGGTTGTAAAATGGGCATAATCATATTTTACTCAGAAACTAATGGCTCAGGCCGTGTGCGGTGGCTCACACCTGTAATCCCAACACTTTGGGAGGCCGAGGTGGACGGATCACCTCAGGTCAGGAGGTGGAGACCAGCCTGGCCAAAGTGGTGAAACCCTGTCTCTACTAAAAATACAAAAAATCAGCTGGGCGTGGTGGCGGGCGCCTGTAATCCCAGCTACTCAAGAGGCTGAAGCAGGAGAATCACTTGAACCCGGGAGGCAGAGGCTGCAGTGAGCTGAGATCGCATCAGTGCACTCCAGCCTGGGCGACAGAGCAAGACTGTCTCCAAAAAAAAAGAAAGAAACTAATGGCTCCTCTTTGTTTTTAGTTGTATATTGATCAGTGCTTGTGGCACTGCTGATTTCTGTTGGTTCCTTCTGTGTGTCTCAGCTGCCAGGGACCCCACCTGCTCTCTGCTCTACTCTTGAATGACTTGGGGCAACCACACAGACTTCTTGCTCCTGACCGACTACTTTTTATGTGCATTGGGGATTTTAGGTACCAGCCCCAGGAGACAGAAGCAGCCCTTCCTTAATTGAGAGCTTTGGTTAATTGGGGTTGCGTTGGGTAAGGCTTTTTATAGTATAAACTCTCGAGGGGTGCTTCCTAAGTAGAACTTGTAGTCTGCTCATATTCACCTCAAATGTGGCCTTTGCTGGTATCTGTAGGGCTAGGAACCCTCCTTAGTGACTTCTAAATTCTGGATCCTGACCTAGTTGTCTTTAACTTGCATATTCTGCATACCCTACTACTACTTTCTGTGTTCTTTCTCTTTTTACACCTCTCCAGCGCATGACTTTTATCTTGATTTATTTCACCCTCTTATCGACCACCTAGGTGTGCATGTGGTATACTGTGGGGAACCCAGAGACTTGATTTCATTCCACCGTGAGTGCCCAGTCTAATGGAAGAGATGGTTACAGTACAATAGATGTTACTTCACTGCAGCCTGTAAGAGGTGCTCTGGGTGAATCAGCTGCCAGGAATGTGGACTAAATCTGGGGAAAGGAAGGATGAGTTGTAAAAGGGTAAATCAGAAACAAGCCTGGCAAGAGCTGAGGCTTAGGTGTGTGGCAAGGCCCATGCATATGGAGAGAGATACTTGAGCCCGGACTGCCATGGATTAGGGGTACCCCAACTCTCTGCCTGGCTGGTGGATTCTACATTTTAACAAACCCCTGTAATGTTCCAAGTAGTAATAGCTAGCATTTCGTAGTATTTTCATACTCCTTTTCTCATTTAATCATCACCACTGTAAAGTTGGTGTTTATATAACTTGTTCTTACAGACAAGAACGTCAGTGTCCATCAAGGTCAAGTTGCTTGTCCAGCACAACACTAGAGAAAGGTCAGGGCCTAGGTTTACATCCAGATGCTCTTTCCAGTGTCCATGTTCTTGACAGGCTGCCTTGTGACCGTGTTGGACAGCTGCCAGTGGTGTCCAGAGACATTAGCATAATTCACACCCAGTAGCAGTCTGCTCTAGTGTCCAGGCACCATTCAAGGTGCTTTGTATGTCACAGTTAAGCCTTAGAGCAGTCCAGTGCTGTAGGTGTTTCTTCTCAATTTATAAAAAACTAAACAGATTCTTAGTGTTCTAAGAAATTTGCCCAGGATCATATAGCTATGTAATTGGGGGATTGGGGGCAGGTAGTAGAGGGAATGTTGACCCCAGGCCTGGCTGGCTTTACAGCCCCTGTCCGGCCGGTGGGTTTACTCTTGTCCTCTTTTGGACACTGTGTTTTGCCCTGGCAGCCAACAGAACAAGTCTGTTAATCTTAGGAAGTACTTTGGACACACCCTGTGGTGTTGCTATGGTACCCAGCCTCTTTATAATGACATAACAGCACAAAATCATTGAGAATGGGACCAATTCTTGGTCTGCATTTTCATATTTCTTTGGGAAGATGTGCCAGGATGGGTCCGTGTCTTTAGCTTCTTAGGACAGATCTTTGGCTGAGCCAGCTCTTTAACTAAAATATTTTAATGTACAACTCCTAATTAAACAGGGATGGCTATAGTCATAATTTATTCAAACTTCATTTTTCGGGGTTCCCTCATCCTTTTTCTTAAGACATAACTTTATAATTTTAATATTCTGCCCTTTTCCCCCCTTCACATTAAAACTTGCTTATTACATGCTATGTGACTTTCTCTTTTGGCTTTTTAAGTAAACTTTTGTTGAAGTATAATATGGTCCTTTAAAACTTTCAGCCAATTGGTATTACCATAGTTAACTGTTACTCATTCTCATTCTTGGACAGTAGTTTTCCAATCCTCCACTTTGACTTACTCTGTATGGAATACCAGTTCTGAGTGTCTCTGGTGTTTGGTGTGTGTTTTTTTGTTGGGTGGGGAGGCTTGTTTGTTTTGTGTCTTTTTGACACTTTTGGAATGAATTCCTCAAGTGGGATTTTTCTTTCAAATGGATCGAGCATTTCTAAGACTTCCTATATGTATTGCTGAATTGCTGAAGTGTGCGTAAGTCAAAGTCCTAATTAGTCCTCTGCTGAAAGACAGATCTGCATGTTGTGTGGTTGGACCATCACGAGGGACTGGATGAACATTAAACTCTGGGGGGCACGCATCAGAGTCTGCTGTGGGAACTAGCACATCCAGGTGTGCGATTTTGCTGCAGGCACTAAGGCAGTCACAGTGCTTCTGCTGAGAATCTAGCCTATGGAAACTCAAGGTCCTGCCCTCAACTAGGCAAGTTACTTAATCTTTTGCTCCTGAGTCTCCTCACCTGTGAGAGGAAATGTAATTATTATCTGAATAGATAGCAGTTTCGAGTAACCAGAGAGGAATGGCAGAGCACTCTCTGAATTCTTCCTTTCCATCTTATGTGACAAGTTATTAAATCTTATTTATCCTAAACTTCTAAGACCTTTCACATCCTCTTCTCACCTCCTCCCTTGCCAGCCCTCACTTCACCAGGTTTCAGAGCCTCTTGATAAGTCAGTCGGCCACTAGGCTGTCTCCCATCGCCAACCCCTCATGCCTCCATAAGGAACTTGTTTCATTGTCCAAGATATGCTCTTTCACAGTTTAACGTCTCTGAAATCAGCGGTTGACTTAGTCAATGGTGTGCCCATAGCGTTGTCAGCAGCCTATATGGCTTACTTAAATGGTATGCCTTAAAATTGGTGACTTGTAGATTCTGTAAGCGACACATCTCTAAAATACGTCAGTGGCCAGGCGTGGTGGCTCATGCCTATAATTACCCAGTACTTAAGGAGGCTGAGGTGGAAGGATTGCCTGAGCCCAGAAGTTCAAGACCAGCCCGGGCAACATAAGGAGACCCTGTCTCTACTAAAAATAGAAAAGAATAGCCGGGCGTGGTGGTGCATGGTTGTAATCCCCACTACTCTATTCGAGAGGCTGAGGCAGGAGGCTCCCTTGAGCCCAGAAGGTAGAGGCAGCAGTGAGCTGTGATTGGCTGCACTCTGGCCTGGGCAACAGAGCTAGACCGTTTCAAAATAAGTAAATAAATAAAATGTATTAAGAACTTTCAGTCACTTCCCATTTCTTGGAGTCTAAATCCACCTTAGAAGATATCCAGCCTCATTCCGGCACATCTACAGAAACTCTTCTGTGATTATCCAGACTACTCGTGTCCCTGGCGCACACCCACCTGCTCCTGTGCCCACTCCCCTCATCCTGGGAGACGCAGCTGCAGGGCCTCTCGCAGTTATTCTCAGCCTGCCTTCCTCTCATCCCAGCTTCTCTCCCAACTCTTCTGGCAGATCCGGGCCCGCTTCCTAGTTCTCACAGCTGTAGTCATTCTGCTTCTAATGACCAGAAGCCTATGTAAGGGCAGGGATGCCCCTCAGCTCACCGCACCTCTGTCTCAAGAGCAATGTGTGCTCAGAAATTGTTGAAGTGGCGTTGACTAAAACCTGGAAATCTAACTTCTGGAGAAGGCTTAAGGATAGGCTTGTAAAAATCTAGAGCATTTTGTATTTCTTTACAGGAAGTGCCTGTCTTTCCAAAGCTCCTACTGGCTTGTCTTTATGCTGAGCCTGCTGGCCTCACGTTTTTCAGCGAAGCAAGCCATGTTTTTATTGGGAACTTAAGCACTACTGATGAATTTCCATGACTAATGAGATGCAAGACACCTGCTTGGTTTTGTTCTTGGGTTTACTTTAAGCATCTTCTCTCCCTGTGGACTGTGGCATAGGATATGTTTTGAAATACATAATTTATATTATGGTCACCTGACTGTCAGACTTGAGGGAAAGGTAGTAAAACTGTCCCCAAAGGCAGGCCTGCCTCTCTTGGAAGAACACTTTTTAGCCCTCTGTGAGCTGGGAGACAGCATGGTCTGGGGGGAGGACTTGCTGTGGGGGTTCTCTCCTATCCCCCCCAGTTACTCATGGTAAGGGCCCTCGGGCAGACTCTGAAGCCTTTCTCAGCCTTAGTTGCCCCACCTGTAAAACGGTGCCTGGTAAGATGAGATAGCTCACATAATAAACTTTTAAAATAGTACCTGGAACCCAGTAGGCTTTCACAGGCTAATTTACCTCAAATCCTTACTATCTCCAAATAACCTGCCTGTTTTCTCCCTCTCTGGGAAGGAAGCTAAATTTGTAACTCTTATTAATCTTATACAACTGTCAGATTATACCAGACAAGGGAATTATAAAACTTAAGTAAATTTTATTTGTTCCTCTCAGCTCAAAAAACTGAATTTCATGTGGGGATTTTAGTGGTTGCTGCATATATCTATTCCAATTATATATCCTGAAACTGGGGAAATACCCGCAGTTGTGGGTGGGTCGGGAGCCCACTGTGAGATGGGCCTGAGCTGAAACTCCATGGATCACCTGCCCTCCATCAGTCCTGTTCTGACTGGTGGACCACAGTGACAGTTTGGTTCTTTGGGAATTAGTGTCTTTTTGGAACTTGTGTTCAGTAATCCCCTAAAGTTTGATTACTTTCCCTTCCTCAATGCACAGGCACCTTGGAAATGACTGCAGGTCTCCCTGGGGAGGCCGGAAGACTGAGTAAGAAATCTAGTCCCCCGACCTCAAAACATCTGCAGAATGTGCCAGCATTTCTCAGGGTTAAGTAGAAGAGTTAAGCCATAGATTGCTAACCAGAATATCTGGTATAATTTAATAAAAACTAAAATAAAAATATGAAACTAGGGCCTTGGCTGGTCAGAAGAGGGAAGTTACTGGGAAATCAAGTGAGTATAAGATAGACTGGTGTTGCAGCTAGCCTTAAGGTGCACATTTCAATTGTACCTGCAGAGATTGTGGGGGCAGCAGGCCTAGGGAGAGGGATCACTTCAAATAGGAATAGCCTGGTCTGCCTAGAACATGGGTTTCAGCTGTTACAGCCTAAGAAGTGTGATGTCTTAGATGGAATAATACACTTTCATTCTAAGATCTAAATTTCATCTTTTGCCTAACATGTAAAAACTTACTCTTACGGCCTACAGCACTGGGATTATTGAAATCGGTGACTTCCAAGGATTTGGTTGGGGTTGAGTGGGAATGATGATGTTAGTGATGGTCAGTGGTTCATTTCCCCAAAAAGATCTTACATTCTGCCAAATGTAGTTCCTATCTGACTTAAGTCACAGTACTCATGTGGTATAGTTTCATTCTCTCATTTGATAGATGTGAAGACTGAGGTACCAAAAAGACTGAGGCTCAGAGAGCTTCAGGGACTTGCCCAGGGTTCCAGCCATCTTTTCATCACACCTCAGTCTCCCTGTGTTTTCCTTGAAACAAAGAATCCACCCAGTGAGGCAGTGGTCAGAGTTGGGGTCTGAACCCAAACTCTTTGTTTCCTGGTCTGTGTTTTTCCTGTTACTTCACCAAGTGCCTCCGAGTGCCTGGCATCATCCACGTCGCCTCCTTCCATCTGGTCGTGAGGTAGCTGAGACCCCGTTAGACAGTCTGCTTGGAGTAAAGGACTAGAATTCTGACATGTTTGTTTTCTCCCGGGAGTTCGTGTGTGAAAGCATACGCTGCAGCTTCTCATGAAAGAAGTCCAGGGGCCTTTCCTGCGCAAAGAAGTACTTTTGAGGCCAGGTGCTATTGAGAAGCTGGGACTATTGAGGCCACTGCACCCGGCCTCAAAAGTACTTCTTTTGGAAGTACGTTGGGAAGCCAAGGCGGGAGGACCACTTGAGCACAGGAGTTGGAGGCTACTGTGAGCTATGGTCACACCTCTGCACTCCAGCCTGGGTGACAGAGTGAGACCTTGACTCGTAAAAATAATAACACTTTTGTATCTGGGACAAATAGCTGCACTCCCAGTTTTCCATTCTGTCATACCCACTGTTACTGGGTGTGATTCTGAGAATACTTCTTCCTGTCCAGAATTTTCCTCTCAACAAACAGCCCCTCCTGTAGCATCTCCTGAGTCTAGCTCCTTCCTCAGAGCAGCTCCTCAGTCCGAAGGTCCAGTCTCCCCCAACCACTCACAAACTTTGGGTTCTTTTTTTACCATTTTTTCTTTCCCTGGATTCTCATAACCTGGACTTAGATTATAGTCTGTTTTGCAGACTTGTTTTCTTTTTCCTTAGGTTGCCATAGTTACTAACTTTGTATATAAAATAACCATCATTCCTCTTCCTTTATTCCCCCACCAGAAGTTTCAGTGTTTTCTGATGTGGCCTTTGCAAAAGGAATTGGATGGCTTTTTGATCTTTTCCTTTCTGGTTCTACCTGTAGTACACATTTCTTGCTCTCCTTTTTGTGGGTCTTTAGCATCTGGATTGACTTGGGCTTCAGATTGATGCTTCATTGTGCAGTATTTTTACATAGAGGGCCTCTGCCCATGACCTAGATAGAGGATTATGAGAGGGGAAATAACTGATTTGAAAAGAACAAAAAACATCTGCCCTAAACTGGTTCTACCTGTATTACTTTGATTGTGAGTAATATAAGCAAATAAATTATATAATTACAAGGGAAGTGAGGGCTATCCGATTGTGATCAAAAACCTAAAGCTTTTGTTTTGTGTGTCACATCATCTTGGCTGAACCCAGAACTCTCAGACCATTGGCTTTAGTAGACTGTGAGCCTTGGTAATTTCAGGCTGTTGGGGTTAGCAGAGCCTCACCTAGATCACTCGTTTTCTTTGTAATAGAGTAAATGACTAGTAAAAGGAACCCTCTGCCAGAAGCTGTCTGAGGAAGTGCAGTCATTTTTGGTAGGATGCATACTCCATACTGGGGCCAGAGAGAGGACTTCTCTTCAGGTCCTGGCTCAGTTACAAATGACCTTGTGACCACCCAGAACAAGCCAGCACATTTGCAGGCCCAGCCTCTCCTCATCAGTGAGATAAAACATCTGCCTTCTTACACTTAGCTTTGGGAGCAGTTGTAGTCATCACATAACATCCACATAAAGATTCACTGGACTGTCAGTTGCTTTATAAAGAACATTGAGATTTGCTTGGAGAGGTTGGTCACCAGCTTTCCTAGAGTTTCAAGCCCACACAATTTAAATCTGTCTTGTACATCGACTTTAGACTCCACTGTTCCCACCAGACTTCCAATTTACACCTTTCTGGTCTTTTTGTCCCTGTGTTCCATCATCCATTCCATCTTTCAGCCTAGAATTACCTTCCTGCTCCCCCACTGATCTACTGCCTGCCTTTTACAGGGTAAGTTCAGTCCTGCCCCCTCTGACACCTTCAGATCTGGCCACTCCTGCCCCCCCCTTCACTGTTTATATGAGTTGACCCTGATGGAGATGTACATTCAGATCTGGCGACTCCTGCCTCCGCTTCACTGTTTGTAGTAGTTGAGCCTGATGGCGATGTACAGCTTTTGATGGTTGCTGCTGTGGATACCTGTCATCTCCTTGAAACTAAGCCTCATAGAGGTGGAGGCATGTTATGTACCTAACTTGTGCTAGGCATGTGGTGGGCTTGCAGAAAATATTGATGGATCGGACTGTGCCTCTGAAATAAACCAAGGAAATTGTAGGAGTGTGCCTCTGAAATAAAGGAAATTCTAGTGCCATTCTAGGTGCATTAACAAGAATCCTTCTACAAGTCAGGAAAAAAGAGAGGGAAGGTCATTTGCTCAGCATGGAGTAACAATGATATTAGAAGCAACAGACCCGTGACAGCCTTCTTGCATGCTTTCCCTTGTCCCATCTGCCCAGCAGCTTTGGGAGGTGTGGGTGGTATGGCACTCCCTGTTTGGAGACAGTATAATGAAACAAAAAGGCTTCGCAGTCAACCAGACGGCAGTAAACCCGAGTTTCCACCTGGGCCTCATTCCAAACCCAGGTACCTGACACCAGTCCCTGGTGCCTGTGTCATACCTTAGAAAGGCACTCAGTGCCAGTTGTGCAGGTCCCCTTGGAGCAGTTGTTTGTCACCAATGTCACTCTTGAATACACTGCATCCTTTAGTTAAAAAGAAGTGTGACTGTGTCCATCTCACTCAAGCTCCTTCCTGTCTTCTTTGATTTAGGAGAAAGGATCCTGGGTTATGCTGAGGAGCCCTGCTATCTCTGGTTTGTCATGGAGTTCTGTGAAGGTGGAGACCTGAATCAGTATGTCCTGTCCCGGAGGCCAGACCCAGCCACCAACAAAAGTTTCATGCTACAGCTGACGAGCGCCATTGCCTTCCTGCACAAAAACCATATTGTGCACAGGGACCTGAAGCCAGACAACATCCTCATCACAGAGCGGTCTGGCACCCCCATCCTCAAAGTGGCCGACTTTGGACTAAGCAAGGTCTGTGCTGGGCTGGCACCCCGAGGCAAAGAGGGCAATCAAGACAACAAAAATGTGAATGTGAATAAGTACTGGCTGTCCTCAGCCTGCGGTTCGGACTTCTACATGGCTCCTGAAGTCTGGGAGGGACACTACACAGCCAAGGCGGACATCTTTGCCCTGGGCATTATCATCTGGGCAATGATAGAAAGAATCACTTTTATTGACTCTGAGACCAAGAAGGAGCTCCTGGGGACCTACATTAAACAGGGGACTGAGATCGTCCCTGTTGGTGAGGCGCTGCTAGAAAACCCAAAGATGGAGTTGCACATCCCCCAAAAACGCAGGACTTCCATGTCTGAGGGGATCAAGCAGCTCTTGAAAGATATGTTAGCTGCTAACCCACAGGACCGGCCTGATGCCTTTGAACTTGAAACCAGAATGGACCAGGTCACATGTGCTGCTTAAAATTCAGGGCTAAGCATTTTGGGTGATTTTAAACTAGGTGAGTGCTCTCTGTTGTTGTTTTTTGTTTTTTGTTTTGAGACAGGGTCTCACTCTGTTGGTCAGGCTGGGGTGCAGCGGGTGCAGTGGCAGGATCTCAGCTCACTGCAACCTCCACCTCCCGAGTTCAAGTGATTCTCGTGCCTCAGCCACCTGGGTAGCTGGGATTACAGGCACCTGCCATCATGCCCGGCTAATTTTTGTATTTTTAGTAGAGACGGAGTTTCACCATGTTGGCTAGGCTGGTCTCAAACTTCTGACCTCAAGCGATCTGCTGGTCTCAGCCTCCCAAAGTGCTGGGATTACAGTTGTGAGCCACCATGCCCAGCCTCTCTTTTTTTTCTGTATGCCCACTTCTTGGACCGGGTTCTTCATTCTGGACCCTGGCATGGGCCCTGTGAACTTGCAGGGGAATACAAAGTTGAAGAAAATGAAGTGCTTCTTTTCAAAGATCCCCCCCATATCTTGATGGGAGAAACGTGCAATTATCTGAGTACACGTTGGAAAGTCTAGAGAAGTCTTCTCAGAGGAGGTTGCGTTTAAGCCGAGTCTCCCTTTTTTTAGAAACGCTCTTTCTCATCATTATAAATGCTCACTGTAGAAAATGTGCATAAGAGGTAGACAGGTTTTCAGAGAATAAACACTATCTCTGATTGTATCCCACCTACTCACACATCCGGTTCCACATAGTTTAGATCTTGCCCTAGTTGGTCAAGGTCTTTTTCTTTTTACTCATTACTAATCTGAGCATTCCTCCATGTCATACTTTAGAAGTATGGCTTTTCAGGGACTGTATGACATTCCCATTATATGTACCATAATTTAACCATTCTCCTACTTTAGAAAACAGATTTTTTCCATTTTAGATACTATAAAGAATGTATTAGTGAATATTTATGTAGAAGTCTTTGCTTATTTAAAAAATTTATTCCAAGGTGGGCGGATCACGAGGTCAGGAGATCAAGACCATCCTGGCTAACACAGTGAAACCCCATCTTTACTAAAAATAACAAAAAAATCAGCCAGGCGTGGTGGCGGGCACTTGTAGTCCCAGCTACTCGGGAGGCTGAGGCAGGAGAATGGTGTGAACCCGGGAGGCGGAGCTTGCAGTGAGCTGAGATCGTGCCACTGCACTCCAGCCTGGGCAACAGAGCGAGACTCCGTCTCAAAAAAAAAAAAAATTTATTGTGAGTTTTCCTTTGTGAAGTACAGTCATGCTCCGCATGAACAACGTTTTGGTCAAAAAGGAATGGCCTATATGACGGTGGTCCCATTAGATTATAATGGAACTGAAAAATTCCTATTACCTAGTGATGTAGCTGTTGTAATGTTATAGTGCATATTATGGTGTATGTGTTACCTTTTCTGTGTTTAGATACACAAAAACTTACCATTGTGTTACAACTGCCTATAGTATTCAGTACAGTAACATGCTGTACAGAATTGTAGTCCAGGAATGATAGGCCATACATGTCATCTAGGTGTGTAGTAGGCTACACCATCTAGGTTTATGTAAGTACACTCTTGACATTACACAACAATCGCCTAATGACTCATTTCTCAGAAATCGTTAAGCAGCCCATTGTTAAGCGACCCATAACTGTATGTGCTAGGCTCTGGGGTGACATGATAAGCCAAATCAGAGACTTTCTCCATCTTCATGAATTCTGCATCTTAATTAGGGAGAGAAACTCCAAGTTGAACTTGGTTTCATGTGTAGTATTTTCAATGAAGGTATTTTTGTAATGAGTCACTAGGTCTAATTCTTCAAATCATAATTGTTTTATAGCTGTTTAAGGAGAAGAGGTATTCAGGGAAATTGACCTTTCGGGTGTTGATGCACAGAGTCAAGAGGAGGGAATTGGGGGTGAGGGAGCATCCCAGATAGACCAACCTCTGCGAAGGACCTGAAACCAGGGAGAGCCTGGCACATTTGAGAGACTAGACCAATTTGGGTTAATGAGGAAGTAGGCATGTGGAAATTAGAGAGGACAGGGAACAGTGTAGACAGAAATTGAACTGGAAAACCCAAAGGTATTTATAGGAACAGCAGAATAGTTTAGTTGGACTGAAGTTTGATGTGTGTGTAAGAGAAATAAGATGAAAAATTGACCAGCATATATGCTAGGTAGTTTCACATGAACCATTTTGTTTCACCTTTACAACCCTGCAAGGGATTAAGTAATTTACCCCAGATCCTACTAAGTTAAGGATGGGTATATCTTATTCAAGCATCCCCCACCCCCTTTTCCCTTAATATGGTGAGCTAGAAGTAAGCTGCTCTTACGTTGTGCTGAAGTCTTGATGAGGTGATGGAGCTAGTGCTGATCCTCCTGGTGGTCACAAGAAGCCTCAGGAGCCATAAGGCACGGAGCTTTCCATCACTTGGGTGGGTTCCCTCCCTTTCCCTTCATTATCCTCTGGTTTCTAGGTGGGGTTGGCTCATTCCAAGTTGAGCTTGGTTTCATGTGTAGTGTTCTCAGTGAATGTATTTCTCGAGTGAGTCACTTAGGTTTAATTCTTTCATTCTACAAACGTGTGTTCCAGGTGCTGGACCAATTGGGCCTACCACCCGTGGGTAGGAGAACAGCAGTCCCCAAAGCTAGGTTTAGGGTAGTGCTATATTAGAAACCAAAAGGGTTGGCTAGACAGTGTTTTAAATGTATTTTGTGCTGTCACTTCCCATTTCCATCTCATGCTTTCTGCTTTTGAAAGACCTCTTAAAATTCAGATTTGCTCTGGCATAGGAAGGTTGTCATTGGAAGAGGGACCTGAATTTAGGTTACGATTATGGGGTTGTCATAACTAATTGAGATCAGGGCTTCCATGTGGATATCCACACTTGAGATTTGTGCTGTTTTGCAGGGCAGTTTTGGCTAAATTGGAGTGATTCTTTCATGTAGGAGAAATAGGCGACCTTGAGAAGAGGGGAAAAGATTAGGAATATGGTTACTGGTGAGTGTCCCAGGCTGTTTTGTTAATTCATTTTGTGGCTCTTACAGCTAATCTTTACAGTACTGGTGGTGCCAATTTGACCATAGCCTATCCTCCCCTGTCTTAGGTGGGCACTTAGAATTGTGGGCCTGGGCCCAGGTCTGTGACCAGAGCCAAACCCTGTGTTGCCAGAAACTTCAAATCAGCTTCTGTAGAAGAGCTGTATCTGGCTGGTCAGAGAATCTGAGGCTTGACTTGGGAAGAACATTGAGTCTGACCTCCCTTTCCCCTGCCAAGTTTTGTAGATGGACAAGCTAATTTCATTTATTCATTCAACATGTTCTTTGGAAACTCTTTCCAAGTACCATTTTAGACACAGATAATACATCGGTGAACAAAACAGACAAGTTTTTGCAGTATGGAGCTTAACATTCGTTCTGTTGGGAAGACAGTACCCATAGGTAATGTACAAGAAAGTGCTCGGTGCTGGGTGCGGTGAGAGGGTAGGATGGGAAGAGTAGAGCAGGGTAGGGGAGATCTGAAGCTTGGGTGGTGGGGAGGGGTGGGGATGTACTTTTAAATGGAAGATATCAGAGTGGGTCTCCCAGAGACGGTGACCTTTGAGCGAATGTTAGAAGGAGTCGAGGGAGTGAGTCCCAAGGATTTCTGGGGAAAGAGCATCTCAGACAGAAGTAATGGCCACTGTGAAGGTCCTGAAAGTTGGCCAGAGTGAGCAAGGAGTGTATAGGAAGAGATAGATAACTAGGAGCCAAGTAGGCCTCGTAAGCCTCTAGAGATTTTGGCTTGTGTTTTTGGATGAGATGGAAAGCCATGGGGATGTTTTCAGCTGTGTGATATCTGCTCTTTTGAAAGGATCACTTTGCATCTTGAAATAACGGGATAAGATGGGAGGCTGTTGCAATAATCCAGGTGAGAGATGACGATGGCTTGAAACAATGTAACAGAGAAGTGATTATTGGATTTTGGGTATTTTTTTGAAGTCAGAGCCAGCAGGATTTCCGGCCGGATCATATGGGAGGTGTGAGAGAAAGGAATTAATCATCACTTCAAGGTGTCAGCCTAAGTGATGGGAAGAATAGAGCTGCCATTAAATAAGATGGGGAAGACATTGGGGGAATAGGGTTGGCAGGACAAAGTTAGGTTTTAGTTATCTGAAAGTTTGGCATGCCTATTTAGAATCCAACTACAGATGTAGAGTAGGCAGTTGGATGAGTCTGGAGTTCAAGGGAGGGGTCCAGCCTAGAGATACAAATTTAGAGATTTGCCACAGTACTGGAGTGGGTATAGACAAGAGGAGGTCAGAGGACTGAGCTCCAGGTGGTGCAACATTGAGGATGGGAAGAAAGAAAGGAGCCAGAGAGAGGGGAAAAGACATCAAGAGGAGGAGGGAGCCAGCCGTGGCATCATCTGCTAGTTGATTGAGAGGACTTGATCATTGGATTTAGTAAATGGGAAAGCATCAGTACTCATGAACAATTTTGGTGGAGTAATGGGGAAACCTGTAACTAGAGTGGATTTGAGAGGGGAAGAGGAGAGGAATTGGAGACAGTGGAAGAATAGACCAGTAGTTGTCAAAGTATTTTGTCTGAAAGCCTCTTTACATTTTTGAATTTACGGACTCCAAAGAGCTTTTGTTTTGGGTTATATCTGTGGATGTTTGTACTATTAAAAATTAAAATAGGCTGGGCGTGGTAGCTCATGCCTTGTAATCCCAGCACTTTGGGAAGCCAAGTAGGGGCAGATTGTTTGAGCTCACGAGTTTGAGACCAGCCTGGGCAACATGGTGAAACCTGGTCTCTACTAAAAATACAAAAATTAGCCAGGTGTGGTGGCACATGCCATAGGCCCAGTACTTGGGAGACTGAGGCAGGAGAATTGCTTGAACCAGGGAGGCAGAGGTTGCAGTGAGCCAGGATCACACCACTGCACTCCAGCCTGGGCGCCAGAGAGGGACTCTGTCTCAAAAAAACAAAAAAACTCTAGTTGCATAAGTAAACACACTTGACCCCTATACCACCAAGATGAAAAAACACCTCAATGTTTTAGGATTGTAGATTTCAGAGTCGCATTTAAGTCAGGACTAACTAGTTTCAGTTTTTTTGCAAAAATAAAAGGAAATGCATTTTGGGTTGGAAACCTGGGATTCCCCTGAAAGAAGTGGTGTCTAGTAACAATGCAGGGATGGAGTCTCATATCTGCGTTTTCCTGACTGTGTGGCCTTAGGCAAATTATTCCACTTATCAGGGCCGCAGTTTTATTATCTATAAAATGGAGTTGATCCTATATATCTTATTGAGGTTGTTGGGGGAATCACAAGAGGTTGTGAAAGTGCCCTATGTAAACAGTCTGAATTAATTGTAATACAGTAGCATTGTTTAGATCCATACTTTGGCCTAGGTAGAAGTATTGGCTTCCATTTCCCTCTGAAGACAGTGGTCTTTGGTAGCCTCACTTTTGTGGATTGCCAAATAGCTTTTCTTTTGAAACAAAGCTGTAGTCAAGGCCCACGCTGTCCAATCACTTGTTCCAGAAAAGTATATCTATTTTTAAAGACCATTCAGTGATGGGTCTGATCTCTTTCTTATTTGTCGCTTTTGAAAGATGTTTAATAATTCCTAATGGCTCCTACCAGCTAGCCACAGCCTTTTATCCCATGCAGGAAGCCAGCCAAACTGATGTTCCAGGTGCCTCCGCCCACGTGTTACCAGGGAGAGTGTTGTGGGATGAGGGAATCTGCATTCATGGCCAAGTCTGCTGTCTGATATACAAACCTCCGTTACTAGGGCCTTTTGAAGCCAAAGCCCTCGAATGACGTCTTTTTGGAGTGGGCAGCTAAGGCCTGCTGAAGGAAATCAGATGTTGGTGTGACCTGAGGGGTCACAGAAAGTATTTCTAGTTCTATATGAGATCTTGGTAGCTGCCTAACATCAGAGAAGGAAATCAGGCCCAATTTCTGTTGAAGTAATAGTTGATGCATTTATCCCTGGCCTGGGGTCCAAAGATGTGGCTCTCAGCTAACGTACTGGGTGACCTGCGTTGGCCCCTTGACCTGCGCTTCAGATTTTACTTCTATTTTGCAAGATCTAACCCTAGTACAACCCTAATCAAAGACAGGAATTCACAAGCCCTTTCAGCTTATCTGACAGGCAAGAGTATATTGCCTGTTGAAGCCATAGAAGCCCAATTCAATGACCAATTTTTTGCTTTGGGCTGGAATTACACGCAACTGTGTTGTTACGCACGCTATAGCTACCAAGTTAATCAGCAGTGATACTAAAAAATGGAAAAGAAATGCGTAATTAACATGGTTTGTTTGAAACAGCAAAGTATTCAAAGCAGTCTCTGTAGGGTAAATTTTAAAATCGTTTTAGGTGAGAAGTTGGGACCGCCAGTACTAAATAGGTCCACTCTATGACTTCCTGGCCCAGCTCTCAGGATGGCCAGGAACTAGCTCCTGCCTTACAGGACTGCCCTCCCTTGCCTGTACCTGGTGCCTGGCTGAGGAGTGTGGCAGCCTGAGGGGTTAGGCTGTGAAGAAGGGCAGCAGCGCCAAAGATGACCAAAACGGCAGTGATTCATGGTCGTCCCTGGGCTGAGTGCTTTATGACTGATAATTCATTTACTTACTTTCAAGTAAATTCCTGAAGGTCACAGAGCTAAGAAGAGGTAAAGCCTAGCCTTGAACCCAGGAGTCAGTCCATGGCTTTAACCAGTTTGGTTTATTGCCTCATTGAATCATCTTTAAATTTAAAATGTTTTCCTAATTGAATTCAACAAATAACTGAGCATCAAAGTAGATAGAATTTCCTGCCCACAAAGCCCAGAGCATTATGAGATGCGCAGTATGGAACACTTAGTAGGGCTTCAAGAGGAGCTAGTTCCTCTCCTACTCTGCAAAGGTCCAGAATATGGTGATAAGCAGCCAGGTAGCCCAAAGGAAAGTAGAAGCAAGGAAGGTTCTTCCTTCATGGGAAGGTGTAACTGCCAAGGGGTCGAAGTCAGTGGTTTGGTTTTGCACCCCAGAAGCTGATCCCTACTTAGTCTTTGGTGGAGCCTTGAATTTCCCAAAGGGAGGATGGGAAAAGGGAAACGCTAAGCTGTACCCCGAAGTGGGTAAGAATGGAGGTGTTATTAAGAGCAGAGAGATCATGGGGTCGAGGTGGTATCTCTTGATGATGATCAATTCTTTAATCCAGGCAGATCCAGAACCCCTGAGGTTCTTTGAGTCCCTGCCCATATAGTAGGGGTCACAGCTTTGCCACAACCCATCTCACTAGCACTAAACAGCTTCACAAGAGGTGGGGGTTATGAGTGAAGAGTCAGAGTGTTTGGTTCTCTTTTCTCGCAGGAAATTGAAGCTCAGTCTTCAACTGTGAAGACCCTAGTGGCGCTAGATACCTGTATACAAAGAGACATGTCCCTTGGGGCCTCATCTCTCTGCTGGTGTTTTCTGAGGAGTTTTCCTCCCCAGGTGGGGAAGGCTGGTATTTTATTTTTTTTGTAAGTCCCCACAAGCTCCCCAGTGACCTGCTGTTGCCATCTCTTGATTGTTTCTGCCGCATCAACAGCAGGAAGCTGAGCTGTCAGTTATGTAATGGGGCCGATGGCCCCCCAGGGATCATCTGTCCCTTGCAGCTCTGCAGGACTTGAAAGCATCCATGAGGGGACAGGCCTGGCCCGGGGCTGTTGACGTCAAGGCCCAGTTGCTGCTCACATGTTCCTCCTCCATGGCCTCCTTGGTGCCACCTAACCTAGATAGCATCCCTTTGGGCAAATCAGAGTGGCTCTTGTAATCGTCCAGCTGTGAGCAAAGCTGCCTGATGGTTCAGGGGTGCTTCCAACTCCCATTTCCTCTTACCCCAGGGACGCAGACACTCCCACCAACAGCTACTGGTTATCAAAACCTGCTCTGAGGGACCCCTTGACTTGTGCAGGGCAGAGACCCTGCCTTTTTATTCCGAGCCCTGAATTAAGCACTTTACATGTATCATTATCATACATCATCTGCTTAGCTATTCTGTTATGTGCCCTCTTTTCTGCAGATAAGGAAGCAGAAAATCACTTTCCTAAGGTTTTGAGAGCCAGGATTTGAGACGAGATGTATCTGTCTGGAAACTCTACTGCTCCGTTCTGCATTCTACAGCCTCTTAAAGCCACTTTTAATGAATTTCTATTCTGAGGCAGATGGTGGGTTCCCCTCCAGTAGTACCATACAGTAAAGCAGCCAGGGCTGCCATGGGTGTCCTTCACAGTCTGACACTGGTTTCAGCACAGGCACACTGTGGCAGGGCCACCAGCCATCCCTTCAGGCGAGGTCAGCCTGCATGTGGATTCCTCCTGTGTTACAATGACTGCCCCAAACATTGGCAGAGGAGGCAAGGCTGGGATAGTGTGAGGTGCCCATATAACCGAGGTCTGGCAGCAGAGAAGGCAGGAGCCACATATGCAGCCAGGTCAAAATTGCCAAAAGTTTGGAAAGTAGGAGATCTAAAGCACACCTCCACCCACCGGCAGCTGGGAAAGCACCCAGCACTGAGGGAATGCTGTCATTAGGCCAGCGTCTGGCACCAGCTGCAAGGAAAGGGCTCCAATAAGAGCCAAAGGCATCATACGTGTCTGTGGTCCTGGTGCCCTGGCAGAAGCCCATTCTGAGTGAACCCAGGGATTTTAAAGTTGATGAGGACCCAGCAGAATGGCAGCGGTTGCTCTGTTTCTTTCTGACAAATCTTCCAGCTCACTCACTGAATCCTGACTTAAGCAAGGGATTCCGTCACTCATGCTTACTCCAATTGATGTGGCTGCCCATAGCCCTGTGTCGAAAGATTCTGGAGCCAAGTCAGATTCTGGCATATGGTAGGCACTTGCCCAGTGGAGGCATTGATTGTTTAGACCCCAATATGGTCTCCTAGGAACTTAGTTTAATAATGCAGATGAGATATGGACACTTGGTGGTAATGGGTTATAGATGGCTCAGTAGAGATACAGGAGGACAGGAAAGAGTGGAGGAGGTGGTATTCCAGGCTGGTTCTTGAAGGTAGGTTTTAGGGGTACCTTGTAAGCCAGGTGGGATGCGCAGGAGCCACATCTCAGGGTACATACTCAGGTTTGGTTTCATTACAGTATTCTCAGCTACAGGAGGAAAGGGTACTACTGTTCAGGTAGTGAAATTCCCAACTGGAGATACACTGTGGACCCAGGACCTAGGGAGAGTGCCCAAGGCTCTGTCTTGATTAGGGCAGCCGCATTCGTGCTCCCAGCCCCTCTTTTCATTTCCACTAGTGAGTCCGCTGTGATATTACAAAATCAGAGGAAATGGAGATCTCCTCCAGCGTTTCTAGGATTCAGAGGCATGGCAGGCCTTAAAACTGCCAACCAAGTTTAAAATAAATCAATACCATAAAACACTGCAATGAATTTCCCAACTTTTAAAGAAATTTCACTTTCAGTTAGAGGTGCCAGGGGAAAGCTATAACTCAGTTTGCATCGTACACAGGTCAGAACTCTATATTTTGTTTCTTTATTAAAGAAAGTGATGTCTAGGGACATGGGAGGAATGGATTAGGGCCACCCAGGCACTCCATAGGCCATAGTGAGGAAGATGAAAATGCTTCCATTTTTCCAGGCTGCAAAAAGCATCTTGATGTGGGGCTTGGGGAAGTCGCCTTATGAATGGTCACCTTTATTTTTTTTTCCCCTGAACTCGGAGGCCTGGTAGTGTAGCTGTAACAGGAGGCAGGTTGGCTTTGTTATATCGTGTTGGGTTTTAGTATTGATTATCTATTTTAATGGGAAAATCACAAAGATGATGTGAACCAGTTGACTCATTCTGCATTTACTTCCATCTTTGTGGGGAAAGAAAACCCTTCACCATGTACAGCACCCCTTTGTTTTTTTTTTTCTACTTTTTTTGGATGTGCTTAAGACAAGCCCTCTCAGAAAGCTAGGCATGCCTAGGGCAAATCTAAGGCATGGAGTTGGGAGTATAGTGTTGTCAGATCTTGGCAGGTTGTATGGGCATTACCAGCACAGCCCGGCCTTGTACCAGACAGAAAGAGAACTAGAAGTCACAAGTAAAGACTCTGTTGTTAGTAACCAGATTGCATCTTGGATCTGATGATGTTTGGAAGGAACCCTTGGTTTGCATAGAACAGCAGAAATAAGTGATTATACCACACCCCAGACAAACAGGCTAACTTTAACTTTTAAAAATATTTTGGAGTTTAGGCCAAGTGCCTAAACTGAAATCCAGATGACACCACTGACATGGTCCAGAGGTCCTCCTCCCTTTTCTGACCTGAGCATCTTAGGGGCCAGGGTACCAACAGGTATAGCAGGAAAAGCCTTCAGAGAGCACATAGCTCCTTCCTGCTGCTCTGGAGTCCTGTAAGCAGGACAACAGCCGTCGTGATAATGCCAGACTCGCTCCTGCTCTTAGAACTGAGTTGGGATCATTGCCATAGAGAGATCCAGATGTGAGTCTTGAGCCTAATTATATGAACCTGGGTGAAGTTTTAACCATGGTTAAAAGATTGCTTTTATTTTATCTGCAGCAGGAACAGAGGATGTCATGAGTAAGAAGTGTTGGTGAAGATATCTTCAACCCCTTGTGTCCTCTCTGCTCCTCCTCACTTGATCCCACCCCCCAACACACAGTGTCAGTGAGAAACCCTAGCACCAGTGGTTCTCAGGATGTGGTTCCCAGACCAGCAGCATCACCTGGGAACTTGTTAGAAACACGTATTTCTGGCTGCACCTCAAACCTACTGAGTTGGAAACTGGGGAGTGGTATTGTATCAGCTCTCCAGGTGATGGCTGATGAACACAAAAGCTTCAGAACTGCTCTGGCAAAAGAGGGTAAATGTGCAGTCAGCCACCCTGCCATCTTTTAGACATGCAGACCATTGCCCTCACCTTTTACCCTTTTACCTTCAAAAAGCTTGGACCTAGGTGTGAGAATCGGGAGGGCCTGTAAGGTCCTGGCTTCTATAATTCCATAAGTAATTGTATAATTACCTAGCACTGTGACTTGGACAAGTCACTCCTCCAGAGAACCAAGGTACCTGAAGGACCACTGTTTTCCCTTTCCCCCGTTCCTTCTGTCCTGGCGTGTTCCTAGTTCCATGGTGGATGTGGTTCTGGGACCCTGGGACAACTGACTCCCGCTCAGGCTCTCAGTGCATTTGTCTTCAGGATAGGGTGAAGCCCTGTGGCCTCTTACTCCTGTGGGAGTAGGAGGAAACAATTTAACCTCTCCGTGGGCTTCCCTGGGGAAGTGGACTTCTGAGCCATAATAATGATGAATGTCTCAAGGTGATCTCAGGGGAGTGCTGTCAGGGCAACCACAGGATTCCTGTGAAGTCTGAATGGTAGGGAGGTCACCCCTAGAGGAAGGAGAAATTGAGAAGCAACAGGGCATAGGAAACAGGGAAGCCCCCCGAGGTACAGGTGGAACTTAGGTCTCTTAAGTGGAATCTGTGGGGGGTTTTTTTTGAGGTGGAGTCTCGCTCTGTTGCCAGGCTGGAGTGCAGTGACACAATCTCGGCTCACTGGCTTCACGCGATTCTCCTGCCTCAGCCTCCCGAGTAGCTGGGATTATAAGTGCATGCCACCACGCCCAGCTAATTTTCATATTTTTATTAGAGACAGGGTTTCACCATGTTGGCCAGGATGGTCTCAATCTCCTGACCTCGTGATCCACCCGCCTCGGCCTCCCAAAGTGCTGGGATTACAGGCTTGAGCCACTGCACCAGGCCTCTAAGTGGAATCTTAAACATGACTTTGAATTGTGACTAGCAAACTTCGTTTTTCTGTTCCACAGACATGTATTGAGCACCCGCTGTGAGCCAGGTTTGGGCCGTGGAGATGAGAATTCCCATCCTCAGTCCATGTAAACCCTGGGCATCTCTCTGAGCCTCCGAGTCTGCCTTCGTAAAGGGGGGTTGCTAACACCTGGAGGGATTGCCGTGGGGATTACATAGAACGGGAATGAAAAGCTGGCAGAGGCCTGCCAGGCACGCAGCAGGTACCACACAGGCGTTGGTTCCTGCTGCCCTTTCATGCCAGTTCTCGGGCACGCTGATGGCAGAGCGAGAATTAGCATCTCGGAATGTGTGCAGGCTCATGTGTTTCCCCCTCCCCCACCAATAAAAAGGAAAACATGCATGCCCAAGGGGACCCGTTAATTTTTTGATCAACTGTGTGTTGGGCACTGTAGTGGGTGCCTCTATTAATAACACATGGGTGAAAAAAGCAGACGTGGTCCTCACCCTTGAGGCACTGAGTTTGAGAGACGTGTCATACGAGAGTACCATAGGTACAGTTTCAGTTGTGTGTAAATGAAGAAAATAGCAGAAAATGAGGACCTGCCCAAGGCGGTCAGAGAAAGGCTCTCTGAGGAGGTGGCATTGAAGCCGAGACCTGAAGGATGAGGCCTCTGCCAAGCAGAGGAGGAGGGAGCCGGCTGGAGTGCGGTGGTCAAGGTGTGGGAGGCCAGGAGGAGGTCACTGGCTGCTCTGTGGCCAGTAAAACTGGAGAGAGGCAGTTGTGGAAGCAGGGAGCCCAGGTAGGAGGCTGTAGCTGCCCAGGTTAGGGGAGATGGTGAAGTGGGAGTGAATTCAAGGTGCATTTTGGAGGTTCAAAAGGGCTCTCAGATGGCCTGAAATCGGAAGGTAGGAAGGAGTGGCTCAGAGCTGACTCCATCATGTGTGGCTTGAGTGACTGGGTGGTGGGAACAGAGCCATGTAAGAGTGAATGTTGCAGCAGGAGACGGTTTAGGGGAGTAGGGAGATACACAAATGAGTCTTGGACGTGCGGACATGAGACCGTACTCTCTCTCCTGCGTGGGTGTTTGTGGTAAGTGGCGCCCGTTTATCTGGGTCTTCTGAGAGGACTGTTGGATCTCAGTTTTGCTGCGAACAAAGAGCACCTTCACAGGCACAGAATGGTCCCTTGGACTCGGGGCTGCGTTCATGGCTGAGTCTTGCTGCGTTTTGTTCTTTTCTTGGTAATCAGCTTCTCATTAGGTTATGATGTGTTGCTCTTCTGTCCTTATTTGCATCTGCTCTCTGCTATAATTGTGTTTCAAGAACATGGCGTTTTGTTGTTTTTGTACTGTTTTGCTTTTTAGAGCTGAAAACCTGTGCGGGGTCTTGTCACATGGGCAGCCTGGTGATCCTGTCACGGGGCAGCTCTCCAGTGTGGGCATCTCGCTCTCTCTTTATTTATTTATTTTTACTAGTTATATAACATCAGAGTCATGATTGCTGGCTGTAAAATTGATTTTGAGAACTACTTTAATTTGTAAATTGGGAAATACTTTCTATTTTGGGTTAGGGAAAGGCATACAGGGGAGGGAGATGGGGGAAGAAGGTCTGTAGTCCCTGGTTTCAGTAATCTTCAGGTTTCTAAGTGCAAGCACCCGGAGCTGAGGGGCGGCCCTCCAACCTTATCTGGACGGTCAGCCAGTGGGGAAGGGGCTTTGGAGTCACTCCTTTGGCCATCCCGTCACACCGTGGTTTGAATGACAATAGAGGGCGTGGGTAGAGGTTGTGTCATCTGCCTGCTCACCAGACCCCCTTCCCTGGAACCCCCTGGGGACCTAGGTCTTTATACAAATTCAGCAAGTGGTTACTGAGAATTAGCAGCTTGCCGATCATCTTGCATTCACTATATACTCATGCGTCACTTAATGACGGGGATATATTCTGAGAAATCCACTGTGAAGCGATTTTGTCTTTGTGCACACATCATGGAGTGTTCTTACACAGTCCTGGATGGTATAGCCTCCTATACACCTAGGTTATATGGTAGATAGAGCCTATTGCTCCTAGACTGCAAACCTGTACAGCATGTTGTGGTACTGAATACTACTATAGGCAGTTGTAACACAATGGTGTTTGTGTGTCTAAACATGTAAACATAGAAAAGGTACAGTGAAAATACGGCATAAAAGGTAAAAAAAATGGCTGGGCTTGCTGGCTTATGCCTATATTCCCAACACTTTGGGAGGCCAAGACAGGAAGATCACTTGAGCCCAGGAGTTTGAGACCAGCCTGGGCCACAGAGGGAGACCCCCATCTCTACAAAATTATATTAAAGTTTTGTTTTTTTTTTTAAGATTAAAAATGGTATACCTATATAGGGCACTTACTATGAATAGAGCTTGCAGGACTAGAAGTTGCTCTGGGTGAGTCAGTGAGTGAGTAATGAGTCAGTGTGAAGGCCTAGGACATTACTGTACACTATTGTAGAATTTCTTTCTTTAAAAATAAATTAACCTTAGCTTACTGTAACTTTTTTGCTTTCTAAACTTAAAATTTTTAAAAAATTTCTTGATTCATTAACATTTAGCGTAAAACACAAACATAAGACAGGGTCGCGCTCTGTCACCCAGGCTGGAGTGCAGTGGCACGATCTTGGATTACTTGGCAGCCTCGACCTTCTGGGCTCAAGCTGTCCTCCTGCCTCAGCCTCCCAAAGCGCTGGGCTTACAAGCCTGAGCCACCGTGCCTGGCCCTTCTTTCTTCATATCCTTATTCTGTATACTTTTTTCTATTTTAAAAAAGTAATTTTTTTACTTTTTAAATTTTTTTTGCTTAAAAACAAAAACCCACACATTAGCCTAGGCCTATGCAGGCTCAGCGTCAGTACTCCCCACTCTTTTTTAAATGTTGTGAAATCCTCACCTGCATCCTAAGTATTGTTGTCCCCCCAACTCCCACTCCAGAGAAAGGAAGTGATTTACCACTGGCCACATGGCTAGCTCATGCCAGCTCAAAGGCCAGAGCTCCAGTGCTCATGATCTCCATCGAGCTACCAAAGAGAGTTCATCTGAGCAAATCCATATGCACCGCACTGTCTCAGGGCCACCAGGAGCTCAGAAAAGGGAGCTGGCTTTTGCCAAAGAAGTAAGTGATGGCAAAGTAGAGGACACATGACTTAAGATGGACCTTGAAGAAAGAAGAACAGATTAGGATATTTGAAGCAGGGGCCATAGCACGTCCAAAGACAGAACACTGGAATTTGTGAAGAGTGCCTATCCCTGGGTGGGTTCACACAGAGGCTAGAGTAGAAAGCTAAATAGGGCTAAGTTGCCAAGAGCCTTGAATGCCAGCCTGAGGAGAATGAACTTCATCCTGCCAAAAAAGACAAGGGTGAGTGGGTGGTGGTGAGCAAGGCTGTATTTTAGGCAGGTGAGTCAGTAACAATGAGGGGAGAACTGTCAGTCCCCCAGGAGGGGAAGATGAATTGCCACACTGGCAGTACCTGTCTCCAAAAAGTGTGAGACTGCACAGGCACCTTCCAGAGCATGGGAAGGCGGTAAGGGTAACATCTGAATAGGAAGATGAGAAACCTTTGCTTCTATATTGGTGTCAAGACATCAACAGACTTGCTGTTGAACCTGTTGGACTGGTCAATCTAGGTTTAAACGGCAGCTCTCCTACTTACTAGCTGGGCGGCTTTGGGCAAGTGATCTACCTTCTCTGGGCCCCCATTTCCTTGTCTGGTCAGTGCAGTAAGTGTTGCTCACTGTAGGCTGTGTCCGGCGCAGTTCCTAGCTCCTGATGACAGTTGAGTCAGTGGTGGCTCTGTGTATTGCCCCCATCCTGCTATTTTGTTTGTTTTTGCCAAATCCTTATAGGCTAATCACACGTTTTCACTTTGCTTCTCACTAACAATTTGTGATAGCATTCTTTCTCCCAAAGAGATCTCCAAACCCCTTAGCAATTGCCTCCAGTGAGTTCCCCTTGGCTTAGTGGGCTTTAACTGGTTGTTGTAACCAAAAGTCCATGTGGACCTCTCTGTGGGTGTGACCTTCTTGGCATCTTTCTTATAACCACAAATTGTTCTGTCCCCATATGGAAGAGTGACCGTTCCCCTTTAGCTAGTAATGGCACCTTAGCATCTTCCTCCTGGCAAGGGCCCCTGAGGACCTCAGCCTTTCCCTTGGGCTCTTTCTTTGCTAATCACAGCAGCCACAACTGAACCTGTCTCTGGGGACCAATTGAGGCAGTTGGCAGCTTTTATTTTCTGCCCCACACTTAATAAGTTGAGGAGGGGAATTAGGGTATCCACACAGCTAACTGCCAATTACCTGGGCTGTTTCTAGAGACAAATAGTTCCCCTTAGTTGGTGTTGGGTTTCACCCAGTGTCTGTGTACTAATTAAAGTGCTTAGAGGAACTACCATCCCAGTGCCCTATTGCCTCTTGACCTCCCAAGGCCAGAAAGACGAGGTTTAAGTGAGTCTGGGTTCTCAGACGCAGACAAGATGACTCAGTGTGCAGCCCTGCCTGCTGGTCACCACGGAGACCTCCAAATCTCAGAATCTGCAGTCTTGCCTACTGTTTCTCTGTGTGCATTTGGCAAACTTTTTAATACTAGCACTTTTGGCAGTATACTCCAAGCAATCAAATTGTTTAAAACAATATTAAGCAAGTCTTCATGTCTAGGAGCTTTCACAGTAACTGCTTGCTCCACTGCCCTGACTTTCTGGCACACTTGAGATACAGCTGACATCTCTTTGCAGCAGCATGCTGTCTCGGCTTTAAGCTTTGTTCAGACCCTTTCCCTCAGTAAGTCATACCCTGCTGACTTACTGGGCCTTACATGGGCCTGCCACTTGTTGCTGCAAGAGTGTTTGTGCCTCTTCCTTGTATAAGTGGGGCGTGGATTGAGCTTCAGGGACGCAGCATAGAGCCTGTCTCCTCCTGATAACATTCGTCCACTTGAAAGGGGAGTCTCAGGCTGGGCGTGGTGGTGCACACCTGTAATCCTAGCTATTGGGGAGGCTGAAGCAGGAGAATCGCTTGAACCCGGGAGGCAGAGGTTGTAGTGAGCTGAGATGGTGCCACTGCACTCCAGCCTGGGCAACAGAGCGAGACTCCGTCTCCAAAAAAAAAAAAAAAAAGATGGGGCGGGTCTCGGGTTCTGCTAGAAACTTTCAAGGAGGAGGAGGACCTCACTGTTGCCCTGTTAGAAAGGGCTCTGGTGCATTGAGCTGAAGTCTGCCTCCCTCCAAACACTCTTTGGCCTGATTTCCCTCAGCCCCAGCCACACAAGTTGTACGTCTCACCTGTGCTGGGGGTGCCCTGTTTAGAGCACTCATGTGCCACTGTCCAGTTAGTTTTTGCCTTAATAAATAAGGGGCCTATAGAGGGCCTCTTCTCAGTATTCTTTGTGCCATGTTCCTTTCTCAGAACCTGAATGGTGTGTTATTCTACCATTTAAAAAATGCCTGGGGCCTGGCGCGGTGGCTCAGGCCTGTAATCCCAGCACTTTGGGAGGCCGAGGCTGGCAAATCACCTGAGGTAAGGAGTTCAAGACCAGCCTTGCCAACATGGTGAAACCCCATCTCTACTAAAAATACAAAAATTAGCCGGGCGTCATGGCACACGCCTGTAATCCCAGCTACTCGGGAGGCTGAGGCAGGAGAATCGCTTGAACCCGGGAGGTGGAGGTTGCAGTGAGCCGAGATTGTGTCATTGCACTCCAGCCTGGGCAACAGAGTGAGACTCTGTGTCAAAAAAGAAAAGAAAAAAAAATGCCTGGGATATGCATTAAACTTCCCAGCCCTAAGGGGCTTTGCAGAACCTGTGCATCCTTGGGGTTAGAAGGAGTCCAGGTTAAGAACCCCTGTGCTGGCCCCAGGTCCTTCATTTGGCAGGGGAAGAAATGAAGTCTCCAGAGGGGGAGTAGGGAGAGAGCTAGAGGGGCCTGGAACCAGGTTTCCCACATTTACTCTTAGCAACAGGCAAGATCCTTCATCTTCCCGTGTTTCACTTCAGTTCCTCTTAGTAGGTTGCCTCCTGGGAGCACATTCCTATGATTGCATCTGTGCTTTTATAGCCTGGGCGACAGTCTGTCTGCCTTTCAGAGAATCCGTGGGACTGGCTTCCTCTGGATACACTTAAGTGGGTGAACAGAATGTGGAAGATGGTGGCAGGGGGTGGCTAGGTAAAGGGTGGACCCCTGCTGAGCAGGGGCTGGTGGTGCTCAGTTCCTTGTAGGGCTGCCCCAGCCGCCTCTTTCAACAATCCATGTGTTTTGAATGTGGCATATGGGAGTCCTCCAGCAGTCCAACATATCTGGCAGGACTTCAGCCAGGATTCCACTTCCTGGACCACTTGTTAGCTAAAGAGACTTATAGGATATATTTGCCATTTTACAAATGGTTGGGTCTAGAAAGAGGCTTTGTGCATTTTAAGATCTTGGGCAGGGCGTTGTGGCTCACACCTGTAATCCCAGCACTTTGGGAGGCCAAGGCAGGAGGATCACTTGACCCCAGGAGTTCAAGACCAGCTTGGCCAACATGGCGAAACCCTGTCTCTACTAAAAATACAAAAATTAGCCGGGCGTGGTGGTGCGCGCCTGTCTTCCCAGCTACTCAGGAGAATCACTTGAACCCAGGAGGTGGAGGTTGCAGTGAGCCGAGATTGCACTGCTGCGCTCCAGCTTGGGCGACAGCAAGACTAATAAGACTAATTAGCTGGGCACAGTGGCATGCACCTGTGGTCCCTACTCAGGAAACTGAGGCGGAAGGATCACTTAAGCCAGGGAAGTCAAGGCTGCAGTGAGCCAGGATCATGCCTTTGCACTCCAGCCTGACAGAGCAAGGCCCTATCTCAGAAAAAAAAGCCATCTTGGGAAGTCCATACTTTCAGACTAAACCATAGTGCTCCAGTCATAAGTCTACTCTTTTCATTAACCTCTTACCATACCTAACTTAGACTCAGGGGACACATTCTGAGGCCGGGCCTGCTCCAAATAGCCACACTTGGATTTCAAGGAACCCCTCCACGTGAAACAGATGTATTTGCCAAAGTTGGCCGTCTTCTTCCCCTTGAAAGAAGGCCTCCTGTTGAGAAGTCAGTAAGGGGAATAGTAGCAGAGAGAGCTGAAATCGAGACAGGAGCCCCCTGGTTGTGTAACTGATAGGCTATGTAATGTCAGGAAAATCTGTAATCCCTGCATGCCTCATTTCTCTCACCCAGCTCTGAAGGTGTGAGAGAGGGGAGCAGCACCCTGTAGCATGGTAGAAAAATAGCATGGGCTTCCGACTTGGACACGGTCCCAGCTCTGTCCCTTACCAGCTGCTGGAGTTTGGAGAAGTGGCCCAGCTCTCTGAGCATCACTGTCCACACCTGGCTTGCCGGGATTTTCAGTGGGAACGTGTGCAGAGCACTTGGCAGTGATGCAGGAACTCAACCAAAGGCAGAGATTTTTTTATAATCATGTGTTTATGTTAAAACCCTATCATGTGGAATGAATGATTCTGTGAAGTTTTATTGCTATGTACTAATTCCCAGTTTCTAGCTATCACCTGGTATTTGAGCTCTTCCTAAAAACCCAGCACTGCTGCTTGGTCACCTGAGAGGCTTAAGAAAAGCAGCAGACTCTCTCTGTCCTGCAGGAAGCTCAGGGTCTAAGATGGTAAGGTTGGAGCACACGACAAGGCTAGTGGGATCTGAGGTCGTCCATGCCTTTTCACTGGGCAGGGGGACAGAAGAGTTCCCATAGAGACTGGGCCCTCTGGGAGTGTTTCCTGGGGAAGGCGTGTGGATGGGAACCCAAAGGGTGAATGCGATCTGAGTGACAGATAGGGGGTGGGAGTTGGGGTAGCCAGATCAGCAGGAGCTGAAGACCCAAAGCAGGAGGGAGGCTGTCACCTCAAGAGAAGATCAACTTGAGGCCAAGGCATCTTTTCTGGAATTTTTGCCCTGGCAAGTGACTGCAGTGAGGTTTTATGGGTTTGGTTTTGTGTTTTTTTGGATGTGATTTGCAGCCACTGTTGTAGCTTATTAAAGTACCTCCTGTGCACCTCACTCCACCTGCTATGTGTACTATCACTGGTCTTTGTACCCGGCAAAGTAGACATTTCCTCATTTTAGGCTGAGCAAACTGAGGCTCGGGGGACCCTGACTTGGTGAAGGTCAGCTGGGATGTAAATTTTGGATCTTCCTACTCCAAAGCCCATGCCTTGAGAGAACACCACCTCCAAGCCACGCTCCTCTGCATTTGGGGCCTGCCCCTGGATATCTGCCTGTGGGTGAGCTGCCTTGGTTTGGTCTCCTGGTCAGGGCTCAGATGTCGTAAGGCGTGGACCTGTGGTCTTCTGGGTTGTCATGGAGCACTGCGAAGCTCCTGTTGTATATGTTGTATAATCTCTGCCCTCTTGCTCCTCTTTTTCCTAACATTTTGCCCGTTCTGTATACCCGAAGACTGAAAACAGTGTTATCCCATTTGTCAGTACTCCCATTCCTTCGACCCTGACAACAGGCACGTTCACAGCACAGTCATCCCTGTTTTTGCCCTACTTTAAGCACCACAGTTGGGAGTGCAGCCTTAGAGGAATGATGCATCAGGAAGCGTGACTCCCTGGCCTTGGTGCCTCTGAGTGATTGGAGGAGACATTCGTGCTGGGGCCACCGAACCCCCAGGGCTGGCATGTTGATGTCTGAATGTGAAAAGCCAGATGCTTTGGTGTATTAAACAAGTGAAGAATGACTAACCCCACTTAGAGGAAGGAGAGGACTGCCGTCTGTGACCCTGACAGATGACTTTGCCTCTGTGCACTTGTGAGGCCTGCTTGCTCCACAGCACGATATGCTGAAAATTAATAACCTGAGCCTCAGTTTGCTCATCTGTAAAATGAGGATAATTCTTACATGGTCCTTTGGACAAATGAGGTGTTGCATATTCAGTTTGCACGGCAGCTAGCATGTCATAGGTATCATTAGCTACAGTGATAATGCCACTACACAGGACTGCGGGTGAATTTAGGTAGGAGTGAATTCTTGGCTAGCCACCCAATAATACCCCACTTTGAGTTTATACTGTACCTTAGTCTATGAGTATGCCAATGGGATGACTTTCTTTTCTATTAACTAAATCTGAGAGTCAGGATAGAAAGAGAAAATTGGGCTTTGGGTTTGAAGTCCCAGTCTGTGATACCCTAAGAACCAAAATGACCATTAACATGAATGACAGCAAGATCGATCTTACTGAATGCCCCACCCTGGGTCAGGTGCCATGACAGGCAATTTACTTGAAGAATTCTTCACTCTTCACAGCAGGCCCCTGAAGAGGAAAGAGTTCCATGCCCATTTTCTAGTTTAGGAGAAGGAGATCATGGAAGTAGCTAGTAAATGGCAGAGCTTGCATTTGAACCAGGACTGTCTGCCATAGAGCCTGTGTTCTTCCCTGAGGGAGCACTGGAGTGACGATAAACCTCGTGGTTACCAGACTTCCACATTTCCTAAGATGGTGCAATTTTAAAAACTGGGGAGGCAGGTCCAGGAGGGAAGCAATTTTTAAAACCATTCCTACTTACTTTCATCATCATTTCATCAAAGAAATGATGTTTTAGGCCAGGCATGGTAGCTCATGCCTGTAATAATCCCAGCACTTTGGGAGACCAAGGCAGGAGGATTGCATGAGCGAAGCCAGGAGTTTGAGACCAGCCTGGGCCACATAATGAGACCCCGTCCCTACAAAAATAAAAATTAAATCTAGCCAGGTGTAGTGGCATGTACCTATAATCCCAGCTGCTCAGGAGGCTGAGGCAGGAGGGTTGTTGAGCCCAGGAATTTAATGCTGCAGTGAGCTATGGTTGTGCCACTGTACTCCAGCTTGGGTGACAGAGTGAGACCCTGTGTCTTAGAAAAGAAAGCAAAAGGTAATGACATTTTGACACTAATAAAGTAGGAAGGCCATCCTTTTAGAGTAAGGGATAATCACCAAGGTATTCTGTGCCTGCAGGCTGAGGAGTAGGGGAAGGAGGTGAACACGTGAGCCATCCTTGTCTCCAGCCCCATCCTGCTGTGCATGTTCCCCTCATATCTCCCAGGCTTCTGTTCTCCAAGCTGCTAATGGCCTTCATGAAAGTAGTTCAGTTTCTCAGTCTTCTTAAACAGACCAGACACCTGCCTGACTGGCAGAGAAGCTTGCTGGAAGACCGTTCACTGCCTGGTTGGCACCATGTCCCCTTTTGTCCCCCGAGCACTAGACCTGTGCACAGGCACGTAAGCCTTCCATGAGCCTTTTTTCTGAGTGAGTCTATTTATAAATGAAGGGATTAGATGGGTTTTAAACTCCACTTAAGACTCTTCTTGTCTTCTCTAGGAAGGGATTTTGCATCGTTACATGTCAAAAGCAGGGGATTTGGAGTGAGACTGCCCTGAGTTAAACCCTTTTCTCTACCACTTACTGTCTATGAGGCTGTTCTCTCTGAGCTTCAGTTTTCTCATCTCTAAGACGAGGGGGACGATAACCCCTACCTCTTAGGGTTGCTGGGGTGAAATGAGGCAATGGATGTAAAACACTCGATCCTTTAACAGTGATTGGAAAGCAGTGTTGCTTTACGAGGTTGTTGCCTATAACACAGTTAGAACTTGCACAGACAGACTGCTCAATAAGTGATTGCTGTTACGCCAGTTACAGAGAAATAAGAAGGTGGGGTGCACTGAGAGAACTTGGTCCAAGAGCTGAAATGAGAAAGGTAAGGATTCATAGCACATTTTCCCAGATCACTGACACCTTCCACCCCCAAGGTCATCTCAGGTGCAAGCTACTGGAACCATTGCTGAGCCGGCTTTGGAAGCACTGATTGAAGACTATCATAGTGCAGAGACTTTGGGTAGTAAAGCTGGAAAACTTTGGATTAAGTGCTGGTTCTACTGCTCAGCAACTCTGGTGTGGGGCAAGTTGCTCCATTTCTCTGGGCCTGTTTTCTTGTGAAAACTGGCCAAATCCCTCCTCACAGTAATCATGGAAGGGCACTACAGATGTCAGTTGCAGGTTTATCACATCACCACTTTTCATTATGCTTAGCAGGTGTGATTTTTGCCCTCAAGGAGCGGGCTCTGGTCAGAGGTAGGGGTTCCACAGAGAGGAATGAGAAGAGCCCCGGTAGAAGCTGGTAGCCAGGCAGTCAGGCACAGCCTGAGCAGTCAGGGAGCTGAGATGTGGCATCTGCTAGGATGAAGCACCACAAGCCTAAGGCCTCCCCAAGGGCCCACTGGGGCTGAGACCTACACCCTTTATTGTGCCCACAAGTACCTGGGAGGGTCTGTGCTTAAACTCAGAACCATGTGGTCTGAGCCATTCCTGTTCATAGCTACAGAAAGCGCCTCCACTACCTTCGGTGAGCTTACTGTGCTGTTAGCTCCCTGGGAAAAATGCTCTTTCTGTGATGGCAGATGGGAAAAGAACCCCAAGCCAAGATCCTCTCCCCAGTAGAGAGCCCTCTTATTTTCCTTCTTTGTGCCCACAAGAGAGAACCAGACTCAGACCTGTAGGCTGTTCTGAGGCTTCCAACAGGAGGGCCAGAGCCAGTGCCAGAGCTAGAGGGAGCAGGGAGGAGCCTTTGGGAAATGTCAGCTTCACTTCCTGGCATGGGACCCAGTGATTACAGCGGTCATTACAAGCTGGTGTCTCAGGAGTTCTTGCAGAGTGCTGTGCTGTTGGTCTGACCTTCTGTAGTCACACTGTGTTCTGCTAGTTTATTATGTAAAAAGGAACCTCTGGTTTCTGAACCTGCCTCCTTGCCAACACTGCTTTTCAGCTGCCACATGCTACCTTCCTGCTGATGGGCATCCTTTTCAGGAGATTGTCCGCAGGGAGGGAGGAAAGGAATGCTGGAAAGTCATAACTGGTCCCAAAGATTATTTTAGCACATCACATGTGGCTGTATAATTTCTCATCGTATTTCACAAGGTCTTAATGTCTCAGATGGTGAGGGCCTACCCTAAATACCCTCTTCCCCCATCTTCAGGTTGATCTGCTGTGTCTACGGAAAGCACGGAGAGAAAGCAATAGGCATGCTAAATAGAGCTAGAGTTTGAGATGGCTGCTGAATCATCAGGGAATATGTTTATGATGATTTTCTTTTTCCAAGTCAAAAACTGGGATACAAGACCCACAAGTGGATTTTTTTGAGGGGAATTAACAGACCAAGGAACAGAAGCAGCAGAGTGAAAGACTGGGCCCGAGAAATCCTGTATTTTCTTTCCAGATCAGCCACACCCACTTTCTTGGTCACCCGCTCCCTGGGCAGTAGAGCAGGGAGTCACATAGTCTAACCTCCCGTTTGGCAGTGTGGAAGCTCTCCTTTGTCCACTGGGCATGGAAGAGTCCAGACAAGACCCCACATCTGGACCTTTCTATTGGAGCTGCCAGCTTTTCTTGTTCATTAAAGTACCCTATTTTTCCTATTAAAAACTAAAATATAACATTGGTGTGTGTTCATTATTAAAAATCAGAAGTGAGGGAAGAGGAAAATCCAGTCACAACAAGCACAACATGTTGGTGTATTTATTGTCAGATTTTCCTACACTGAGGGGTTTGTGTTTTTACATAGTTATGGTCATGCTGTGCGCTACACAACTTTGTAACCTACCCTTTTCCACCTACCCCAGGGAAGTGCTTTTGTCATAATCTTCAAAATGTCATGCAATGATCTCATTTCCTCTGTAGTATATCAGTGCGTTGAAGGATCATTTGCTTACTTAATCCTTATTTTTGGACTTGTGAGTTGTTATATTTCAGTGAACTTCTTTATCCATAAAGTTCTTTTCATATTTAGGTTTATCTGTTAAGCTTGGCTTTCAGGAGTAGAATTTCAGGGAGCTACCAATCTAAACACCTTTGAAGCCCTAAAAACAGTGCCAGACTACCTTCCAGAAGCCTTATCCCCTCCTCCAGCAGTGTGCGGGGCACCCTCACCAGCCAGAAACACTTTCAGTGGTTGCGTGGCTGAGAACCATGGCCTGTTCAGATTTAACACGTTTATAGTCTCTGGTTGGGGACAGTTGGCCAGGAAGGGGTAGAGTCATTGAGTATGTTTGTCCCTGCTGTGGGCCAGGAACCTGAGTCATTCCACCCAGACCTCAACCAAGAGTCCCCAGTGCTCAGAGGGAGAAACTGAGGCCAACAGACAGTAAATTATCCAATATTGTCCTATCCTGCTGCCTCTTGGGAGGACTGGCCAGGTCCCTTCCCAGGAGCTGAGGACAACGAGCTGGTGTTGTCAGCCCGCACAGGTGGCAAGTCATGGCAGCCACGGTGCTGGCTCTGCCTGACAAAGAAAGGCACGCACAGTGAAAGACTTGTCTGCTTTGGTCATTCGGGCACTTTAAAAACTCCTAGATGGGCCAAGGTAGGTGGATCACTTGAGCCCAGGAGTTCAAGACCAGCCTGGACAACATGACAAAACGTCGTCTCTACTAAAAATATAAAAATTAGCCTGGCGTGGTGGCATGTGCCCTGTAGTCACAGCTACTCAGGAGGCTGAGGTGGGAGGATCACTAGAGCACAGGAGTTCAAGGTTGCAGTGAGCTGTGATCAAGGCACTGTACTCCAGCCTGGGTGACAGAGCAAGACCCTGTCTCAAAAAACCTCCTAGATGATTCCATGTGCAACGAGGCTGGAGCACTGTTGCCCTAGATGGCCCGCCCTGCCCAGGACAGCGCTATACTTAGCACTGATCCGATAGCTCAGAGTGGGCGCTGCCCAAGACTAATCTCTGTGGGCCCTTGTATTCTAGGCCTCCAGTAGAATAAGCCACTGAAGGGCAGGCTTCTTGTCTTATTCCTGAGGCCTGGCACTAAGGCAGTTTCCAAATAATAGCCAACACTAATAGGATCAGGCACTCTTCTTGGTTTTACGTTCATTTAATCTTCATAATAGCCTGTGACGCAGGTACAGGTGATGAGACCAGGGAACAGAGGACTTAAATTCCCCCACAGTCGAGGGGCAGCTCCTGTTTACTCAGTTGCCCGTTCTGGCTCCAGAGCCCTCGTTCTTAACCCCCACAGTGCACTGCAGCAGACAGTGCAGGCCCAGTCCAGCCCTGCCCCTGGGTGTGGGATTCTGGCCCATGTTAAGACCTGAGCAGGTAGCCTGGTTCGGATTCTCAGAGGCCTGAGCTTCACTCTTCTCTTCTGTAAAACAGGATTACTGAACCTAGAGAGGGTTGCTGTGGCGTTTCTAACAAACAGCACAATTAATCACAGAGAGTGGGGAAGAAAGCATGAGTGGAAGCAGTGCTGGCAAGGTCTGTGGGGACAGACTATCCAGGGTGGGCCCTGCGGTGTCTTGCTCCTAATAGTACGGGGAAGCCAGGGTTCAAGATTGGTTTGACAGCTAGAGCCAGCAAGCTTGGGTTCCCAGCTAGTGTCTGCCCCTTAGTCAGTGTGCCCTTGGGTAAGTTACTTAACCTGAGCCTCAGTTTCCCTATCTGAAAAATAAGCATGTGTGAATAAGACCAGGGAGGTTGTGAAGCTAGATTTACCCCATCTCTTTAGAGCTCTGCCCCACAGCCCCCAGCACACACAGCTTCAGTGTTCCTCTGGGTTGAGGGCTGGTGCCCAGGCCTGCTGACCAATGTCCCCTCCTTACCCGCCTTCTGTCTTCCAGGTCGATTCCTCGGGACCCACAGTCTCACCACGTCTCCTCCAGAGGACGGCAGAGGGTACAGGTGGTGGCCTGGCCGGTTGGCGATCTCCCGACAGCTGGATCCGGCAATGTGAAGCTTTTGTTTGGGTTTCCCCGCTTCTTTTTAGTTTTGCTTTATTTTTTTCCTTTTCTTTTCTTTTTTTTTTTTCCTCTTTCCTTTTTTTAAATTTAAACCATTGAGACTTCAGAAGAGCAGGACACAATGCTGTGGACAGGCACCAATTTCTTTAAAGAAATTCAATGTGGGCAAGGCATATGTGTAAATTTCACTTTTACTTTTTATAAGGGGTTAGGGAGCTATTTTTGGTTTTGTCCTTCACTTTCCCTCTGTCTTCCTTCTTTATACTTTTCTCAGTTCTACTTATGACACCTCACTTCCCTAGAGAAGGCCTGCCTCCCCATAGGGAATCTGGGGGTTTCTTCTGGAACGGGGCGTGAGGACACAAGGAGGCCTCTGGGCCACGCCTCCCTACCAGATGCAGGAACTCCTGGACTCCTTGGTGGGCTGGCCCTGGCTAGCCCTTGGGCCTCGGAGATGATCAGAGGTGAAGAACCGCCTGGAAGAGGAAGGCCAGGGTTTGGCCAGGAGAACTAAGAAGGTCTCAACTCCAGGCTTTGTTGTGTTTAAGCTATTGAGAGCCCCAGGCCACACCAGGACTTGCAGTGGTGGGAATCCATTCCTCTTCTGCCCTGTGTTGCAGGGAACTAGGAGGTAAGGGTGGAGGGCGACCATCTCGCTCTTGCTGGCGGTGGAGCAGCCATCCCTGCCTTTCTGTTGGGAAAAACTGTTGTGCCAAACTCTTGTGTGGAACACAGCTGGGTCTTCAGCAGGCATCTGTCACTGCCGTGAGGTCAGCGCTTCTCACCTAACTGCCTCCTGGATTGTCATCTTCCCAGATGTGTCCCATAGTGTCCAGGTGTCACAGAGACGGCCTGAGGCCCTAAGATCTGGTTGTGACTTTGCCATGATAACAGGGTGTCCTGAACTGGCTGCCGTTGTCGTGTTCTCACAGTGAAGGGCGTGCCCTGTGTGCCGGGGTCCATGGTGTCATATGCAGTGACACACACTGTCAAGCGCCATTTCCCTCACCCCTGGAGACTTACTGTTAGGTGCCTGCCCTCAGTATAGACGTATCCAATGGGAAAACAGCGGACCTGCCCAGAGCAGGGAGGTGTCGTGGAACTGGGTAGACCCCCTGCAGCGTTAGGGGCCCATTTGTGGGCTCGCCACCTTCAGGCTTCCCCAGCCATGACACTTCAGCCCCGCCACCCATGCCTGTCTGCTGCAGCCATCCTTGCACTCTCCAGCGACACTCTCGCACCTCCCTAGGGGAAGCTTCCCTCCCCCTGGGCTGCTGCTCTGAGCCCATCTGTTCTCCCCCTGCAAGAAGGGGCAATGCTCTTGTGTTGTCCCTCTGTCTGGACGCGCCTGGCCACTCCGAAGGCTTTTCACCCCATTATGGCCAAATAGTATAGGGCCACTGGGGAGGGGGAAGGGAATCATTTTGTGTTCATTTTTGTTTTCTGTTTCACCTAAACCAGCATAGGATTGATAGGGGAGACGGTTGGCGGGCATTTCCGTTTCTATGTGACCAAGGCAGCAGGGGCTTTTACCTGCTAAGCGGCAATCCTTTGGCCCTGAGAATTTGGGAGAGAACAGTGCATCAGGCCAGGCTCAGCAATATGTTTGCTCACATTCTTTCAGCCTTCTGTCACCCCCCTCAACACCAAACTTTCTTCCTTGTGAGCAGAAGGTTGGCTGCTGTTAGCAGGATCCCACAGTGATAACCAGGCCCTTCCCTTCCTAAGCCAAAACCCATTGTGACTGCCTGTCTCTCCTGTCTCTGACTTCTCAGGCAGCCTCCTGAGTGCACTGAGTTGTATCCGAGAGGGTGGGAACAGCAGCATCCCCTAATTGCAGTACACGGTTCCTTTTCCGCCCGCCACCCTGCCTTTCCTTGGGGGCAGCTGTCTCTCTGTACATGAGCAAATGGGCAAAAACAGTCCCCAAACCCAGCACCCCCCTCTCCCTGGCTGCAGCCCACACTGTAACATCCCTAGTGAGGCTCCAGCCTAATGAGCCCCTTATTTTCTTTTTTTTCCCTCCCCAGGTCTAGTAGCTCTAACTAAAAAGTTCTTGGAGCCATCGTGCTCCCCCTTTGTTATTTTTCTTGCTATCAGAGTAGCAAGAAACAGCACCCCTGTAGGTGACAGGTGGGCAGCCTGGTAGGGGTCGCCAGCCTCCATGCCCCCTCATCTTCCAGTTCTTGCTTAGTGGCACGACCTCTTTCCATAGCATAAATGCAGGCCAGCGTTTTAGCCCCAAGTGCCTGCCCTTGCTTCTTACCCCTCCCCTGCTTTCTCAAACACTTGCCCACCTCAGGCACTCAGCGGGCTCCGCCGTGGTGAGAGAACTGGCCGTGGCTCAGCCCCGGGTAGCACCTGTAGTTTCAGTGCCACTCTCCACTGTCCCCTTGTGGACCAGCTTCCACTCACTGTCACGTCCCCCCTCCTGCGTCTTCACTGGGTCTCAGGCTGCCAGCAGCTCTCTGGTGCATCGTCTCAACACCACCAAGTTTGTAGGACCTGCCCAAGTTCTAGTAGTATTCAAAACTTCAAACGGCAGTCATTTGTTCTCCTCGGCTCTGTGGCAAGGATAGCCCTTTGGAGGGGGACTCTTGACCTCGGCTGTTAGGGATCTGAACTTGGTTTTCCCGTCAGAAGAATCAGCAGGACAGATCGTAGTGCCTTATTCCATTGTCCTCCCCTGGCCAGGCCTCCTGGCTCAGCTGGAAGTGCATGGCTTCTTTCTCCCTATCTGTGTCCTCTGTCACTTGCTCTTTCACTCTCTCTCTCATTCCCAGAGAGCCACGGGGGAGGGATCACCCTCACCCCCAACACCCTCTTCCTGAGGGCTGTAGCCAGGTCCGCATCTCCCCACCACCACCAGGGCACTCACTCGCAGCTATAGCCCAGGACAGAAAAACTGTGCTTTGGACAGGTGCACACTCTCTGCCTCTTACCTCTAGCCAGGAGGATGCCTCAGTCTGTTCATTCGAGACTGGCCCCGTCTGAACCTTCTCTGGGCACTGGGGACTAAGGTTGCAGGCCTTAGCCTCGTCTCGTCCCAGAGGCATTGGATCAGGAGAATGGGAATTTTTTTCCTCCCACCTGGACATAGTTTGCCCCTGTGGCTGCCTTTCTGAGGGAGTATACTAAATGTTTACTTAAGAAACACCCTGTTTACAGCCAGAGGAGAAACACCCAACACTGAGTGGAGATTTGACTCTGGACAGGGCCTGGCCTCCTTAGTGGCACTGCCGGGGGGCCCCAGAGCGAATGAGGGCAGAGATGCCCGGGGCAGGGGCAAACGCCCTCCGCTCCCTCTGCTCCCAACCCTGTGGTGCTAGGACCACTCCCCGCCTTCCCTACGGCCTCCTCGCCCTGCACATTCCCCACCTCCACATTCCCCTCCTCCAAGATCTCAGCTCCTTAACATATCAGTTGTCTCCTAGCCTAGAAAACCAGTGTTTGGAGCAATAAGATGATTATTTTTGCTTGAATCTTTTTCTAAGAGAAGGAAAAGAGCTGGCATTGTGGGAATTTTCTTTTTATGCTGTTAGCTGTTTACCTTCTTAGAAGACATCCTAATAGGATGGATGTCTGGGTTTTAGCCTTGGGGTATCTTTTGGAAACTTAGAAAAGCAGGAGTCAGGCTGCCACCCCCTAAGGAGGGACCCTAACGTTCTGCCCTTGCCTGGTTCCATATGGCTCCTTCCAGCCCTGCCCACCAAGTGCAGCTCCCACTTTCCATCCTGCCCATACGCCCCTCTTCCCCCGACATCTGGGGGCGCTGGTGGCACTTACTCTAGGTTGGTCTCAGACTATCCCTCCCCTTGGCTGGTTTTCCCTCCTAGGCCTGTCTGGCAGCCCCCAGACAGACGTAGCTCCTGGGAGTCTCGGCCCTGGCAACCTTGGAAGAGCCAAGCTGACATTGTTTAGCTCTTCAGGCCACTGGGTTTTGGAGGCAGAAGTCCAGAGATACTGGCTCTGCCAAGCTGTCGTACTGGGCTGTGGCACAGCCTTCGAGACAACACGGGTGTATCTCTGATCCTGCCCTACCTAGGCTTCAAGGGGCTTCTGTCTGGAGAAATGCCCTCAAAGGGTAACCAGTAGGTGTGGCATTGAATTGGCCAGTGTTAGCATCTACAGCCATCACCGAGATGAGTCCACTGCCGTTGCCTGCCCGAGGGCCCCCTAAGGTTATAGACGGTATCAGCAGGGAGGCCGTCCCGCTGGTTTTCTAGGAGAGCCCACAGGAGGAAGGGAGCCTCTTCAGGGGCACTGGAATCTTTTGTGCCAGGGGCTTCTTTTCATCAGAGCCGGGGAGTACATTGCAGTGACTTCTTAAACATTTGTGTGGGACAGACGAGCGTGAGGGAGGTTTTAAGCCAGGCACAAAGTTAGTTTCCAATACTAGTTAATAAATCTATTTTTCTTCATTTCCTTTTTTTGCACAGAAGCTGGTAATCTAGGACCTACGTGTGAACAACTTTATATGAATATTTTTTGTACTTGGTTTACTTGGGTTGGTATGATACATTATATTTAAGTTCCTTGAACACTGTGGATCCCCTAATGTGTATGAATGACTGAGGCTTTGTAAATTAAGGGACGTTTGTGTGAATAAAGTTATTTGATGGGGTCAAAGAAGCCATATGTGATTTGAAAAAGAGTGTTTTGTGGTTTGTTGCCCCTGTTTGGGAGGGTGGCAAGGCCAGCCCATGCGCAGCCCCCCATCCCAGCTGGTGGGTGGTGGGAGAGAAGGATCCTTGGCCGTTTCCATGTCCCCGTGCTTGAAGAAGCTGCCTGATGGCCTTTGACTGACCTTCCCATTCTACACCTGAGAAACCAGCACTTGGAAGTGCAGGAAGCTATCTGAAATCGTGCAGCTGCCACTGGGGGATCCTGGATCCAAACTAAGCCTAGTCTGCCCTTCCAGGGGGTCCGGGGCCTAAGCAAACATTGTGGGCCCCTCCTCCAGACATCTCAGAAGCCCCCTCAACCCCCAACCCTGTGGTTCTGCAAGTTCTGCCTTTGAGAGAGTTTTAACAAAGAGCTAAAAAGGGGGGGTCTCCATACCACAGCAGTAAAGGTGTAAGGATCAAGTTTTGGAAAAGCTCAGCAGAGAGGTCGGTTCCATGAGAGGTCAGAGGTCAGGTCAGTGGCCTGAGGTTGGTAGCACCCGTGTCCAAAAAGCAAAGGGGTCCAATCAAGCCAGGCCATCCTGGTTGGGTTGGGAATGGGAAAAAGAGCACATAGTCCATCTCCCTTTCTGCCTGGGCCAACAAAAGCCACATTCCATGAGGACCAGGGACTGGAATTTATGAAAAGCCACATGTTTTTGTGACCATCGTACTGCATAGCAGGTGTGATGTATGCTCCTCTACGCATAAGAGAACTAAAACCCAGAGAAATCAAGACTGCTGGGTGAGTGCCAGGCGGGCTGGGGAAAGAGCTCCCGCCACTTGCCAGCCGGGACAGGTAACTGAGCCTCGCTGAACATCTACTTCCTCAACGAAAGTGGGGGTGATGACAGCTACCTTCAGACAAGTTGCAGGCTAAATAAGAACCTAATATTGGGCCCAGCACATAGTAGGCACTGAAATGGTTTTTTGATTTTCCCAAAGAGACAGGTTTGGGATTCTTCCGGAGTCTGCTGAGCACTAAGCCCCAACTCCTGGCATCGCGCAGCTTTGGTGAGGCTGCCCAGTCTGGTGAGGGTTGATGTTGACTGTGGAGCCCATCATTCAGGGGCTGTCCCAGGGAGACCCGGGGAACCCAGGACAAATACAACTCCTGCAGGAGGATGGAGTCAGGACTTAGGAATGTGTAAGTTAGAAGAAAAGAGAAGACTGGCTTGCCTAATCTGCGAGTGAATAAGCTACATTCTGGGCCCAAGAGTTGGTGCCCAGTGGCTGCTGGGGATGGGGCTTCCAGAAAAGGATACTTCTGTCCTTAGCCTGGGCGATAACCTGGAGCTTGAAGGACAGCCAACAAATTTGTTTTCTTATTAACAGATTTTTTTAGAGAATTCATCCTTCTGAAGAGTGCAATTCAGTGGTTTTTAGTACATGTACAGAGTTGGGCAGCCATTACACTAGCTAATACCGGAACATCTCCTCAAAAGAAAAAAAAAAAAAAATCCATGCCTGCTGGCAGTCACTTCCTAGTCCTTCCATGTTTTTCATTTCCTTGGGTATATACCAAGCAGTGGAATTGCTGGGTCATATAATCACTGTTTAGTTTTTTGGGACCTGCCAGGCTTTTCCGGAGTGGCTGCACCGTTGTCCATTCCCACCGGCAATGCACTAGGGTTCCTGTTGCCCCACATTTTTGCTATATTGTCTTTTTTATTGTAGTCAATTGAGTGGGTGTAAAGTGGTCACAAGTTGTTATAGGCTAGGTCTACACCATTGTACTACGGGTTAATAGCGGATAAGGGGAGAATAGACAGTAGATGCTTTAGACTCTTGACCCAGACACTGATGCATCCAGCAACTGCCGGGGGCATAGCCTGTGCCTAGGATGGTATAAAGAACACAAACAGGCTCTGATCTTTACTGGCTCTTTGAGGCAGATCACCTTTCTGACTTTATTTTCTCATTTACAAAGTATAAATACTCACTTCGCAGGACTAAAGATTTTACCTGCAAAATGTTTGGCGGGCACCCCTTCAGTGAGCATCTCCTTTCCCTGTGTCCTACAGAGTTAAGGCAGGGCTCAAAGATGAATGGTGAGGAACGTGGGATGTATCACTGTAATACAAGGTCTGAGGTGTGTCACCCAGACCCTGGAGGGAAGGATCTGGAATACAGGACCAGGCCAGTGTCCATGCCAGTGGAAGAAGCTAGACATCCGGGCCCTCACTGATCTTCCTCTCCTAAGCCGCTGCTGGCTGTCCAGCTCCAGCCTCTGCCGTAGTCGTTGGATTAATACCCACTCCCAGCCACCTACTCAGTGCTCTGAGTCAGACAGGCCTTGCCAGCAAGGAGCTCCTGGCCCACGGAAGGGGAGTCAGAAGACAGGTACATCCTCATAGCATGCCAGGTATAACAGAGAGGGAAGCTCCAGGGGCTGTGGAGCTTGGAGAAGGCCCCATTGCAACCCAAGGGCCCTTGGGGAGACTTTTGGAAGAGGCGAGGTCTAAAGGGCCACACTCAGTCCACCCTGTTGCCTGACCTGAGCCTGCCCCTTTCCAGGCCATGCCACAGCCCCTCAGCCTGCAGTGCCCCCTGACAGACTGCTCACCACCCATTGTTCTGAGGGCGTGGTGGGCATGGCGCCCTCACCCTGTTTGAGCCTTTCAACTTGGAGAGCTGCAGGGTCTGCTGGCCTCCCAGGGGGTCTTTACCTTGTGATATCTCACCCTGAGAATCCAAAAGAGATCCTGAGGCATTGAGCTCCACTCCTCAATCCAGTCTCCAACTAACAGATTTCATTTTAAATCATCAGAACAGATCATGCTGTGGCACAGGACACTGTAGGCTCCTATTACGCCTAAGATATTCTCCAGACCCCCTGTCTCCGTGGCCTCCCAGGTCCATTTCCTACCCAGTACCCCCTCAGGCTCTGCCTCCAAGCCATCTTGACCTTATTGCTTAAGCACACAGGACACTTCCGTCTCAGGGCCTTCACACTGGCTGTTTCTGCTACCCGGAACGCGTTCTTTCTTCACTGCCTGATATAGGTCTTTGCTCATTTCACCTGAGAGAGCCTTCCCGGCACCCTTATTTAAAGAAACACCTCACCATCACCACCTCTTTAGCATGCTTTATTTTTATTTATAGCACTTATCACTAGCAGAAAGTTTTATATATTGTATATATACACGTGTGTATATAAATCTGTGTGTATGTATGTGAGATAGATAGATAGATATAGATATGCTTAAGCAGTGCCTGAGAAGGCACATAGTAAATACGTAATATGTATTTATTGATTGCATATCATATCAGAGCATGCTAGTTCACAGACCCAGTAGAATAAACTTCCTTGGGTGCCTGCAGGGTAGAGGGCGGTGCCAGGATAGGAATCCAGGCCTCCTGAGCCCTGGCCCACACCCTGTGCCTGGCCTGCAAATTCTCTTCTTTCCTGAGGCTTAGTCACAGTCCACTTCATTCCCGCCAACCCCTGATAAGTAGGAATGAAACCAGCTACTTGAGAAGGAAATCACCAGATGTGAATGATTATATTATTGGGCTTTGATTTTTTTCATCTGGAAATGGGTCAGCAAACATTTTCTGTGAAGGGTCAAAAAGCAAATATTTTAGGCTTTGCATGCCATAGGGCCTCTGCTGCAGCTCCTCCGCTTTGCTGTCCTAACACACAGCAGCCATAGACACCATGTAAACAAATGAGCAGGGCTGTGTGCCAGTAGAGCTTTATTTATGGGCACTGACATTTGGATTTCACAGAGTTTTCACCAAATTGTCGCAAAATATTGTTCTGTTTGTCTTCAACCATTTAAAAATGTAAAAACCACACACCTAGAGTGGTCCAGGGCTTGCTTTTGAGTGCTGGCTTCTGGACAGCATGGCCCATGACACATGGGTTCAGCTCAGGGACTAGTCCATGTGTCAGGTCCATAGGGGGAAGGAGAGGCCATGTGCATATTGGTGATGGGCAGGCCCAGAGGTTCTGCTTCATCCCCAGCTGGTCCCTTGGTCACAGCTCTGGGTGTGTGGGAGGGAAGTACAGTGTGGGGAGATGGGCATCACCCACCATCTGGCACATCCGTGACCTAGAAGCAGCAAAGTACAAAATGGTAATTGGAAAAGGAGTCAAAATACCTGAATCCAGATCCATCATGGCCTCCTGCCAACAGTGTCGGATGTGGCAAGTTACCTCCTGAGTGTAACAGCATGGCGGATTCTGTAATCAGACAGAGGGGTTTGACCTCTGCGTTACTACTTAGTCTTGTGACCTTGGCCATGTTACTCTCTGAGCCTGTTTTCTCATTTATAAAATGGCAATACGAGCACCCACTTCATAAATTTTTCTGAGAATTAATGAGATAGTGCATATATACTACATAACACAATACTTGGCATGCAGTAAATTATTCATAAATATTATCTATTGATAATATTTTTTAAAAACCAGAAAGACATCCTGTGAAGTGCTTCGCAAATAAAAGAGCTCCAACTTCAAGTGATGTTAAGGAATACTGTGTATTTCCTTCCCTTCCTAGAAGGTGCCAATGCATGCTGATGGCTCTGAGAAGCCCTGCAATAATCCGATTTCTCAGGCTTCTTGGATCCGTGATGCTTCTACATTGAACACCTATTAACATCTTCTAATTCTAGTGTTTTGGGGGAAATGCTGCAGAGCCCGCTTTGGGAGATGCTAACTAAGATCACCTTTGCAGCTCTAAAATCCTAATTCCCTTTCAGAGGACTTTAGCTGCCCCACCCTGTTTCACATGGGACTAGAATCACTTTCCTCTTGTAGAAGCCTCCAGAAATTGCCTGTGTTTGGTCTACTGTTCCTTAAGGACAGACCAGAATATGAAGAATTTAATAACCGCAGTGAGTGCCCTGCCAAAATGCTGTAGGGCCCAGGCCTCAACCTCTTGAATGTGGTAAGAACACAGAGTGCAGTTCCCCCAGCCAGCAGACCACAGACACTGCCAAACCCCTGCATTCCTAGTTCCCACACTGGCAGACCCCAGCCACCCTCCAACTAGTGTTTACCCAGTGCCTAATACGTGCAATTAGCATTCTTCTGGGGGGCACCTATAGTTTAGTGGTTCCGTACACGGGCTCTGCCATGTGACTGCCCAGCTTCAAATCAAGTTACTCTACTTCCTTAGGATTCAGTTTCCTCATATGCAAAATGAGGATAATGACTGTACCTGGGCCAGGCTTGGTGGCTCACGCTTATAATCCCAACACTTTGGGAGGCCAAGGCAGGAGGAGCATTGAGCCTAAGAGTTCAAGACCAGCCTGGGCAACATAGGGTGAACTTGTCTCTACAAAAAATAAAAAAATTAGCCAGGCATGGTGGCATGAGCCTGTCGTCCTAGCTATTTGGGAGCCTGAAGCAAGAGGATCCCTTGAGCCTGGGAGATTGAGGCTGTAGTGAGCCATGTTCACACCACTGCACTCCAGCCTGGGTGCCAGAGCAAGATATTTTATTTGTGTCTCTAAAATAAAGTAAAATAGTAAAATAAAACAACAGGAAACCGCACCTGTGTCTGTGAGGATTAGGTACCGCTGGACAAACAGTAGACCCCAAACAGCAGCCACAGAAAAAGCTAGAGCTTGGTTTCTCTCTCACATGAAATGGTGGCAATCCAGGACTTTCATGCTGGTTACCCAAAGTCTTCAGGGATCCCATCTCCTGGTCTTCAACAAGTGGCTTCTATCTTCAAGGTCACCTCCTGGGCCAGGATAGCTGCTGGAGCTTCAGGCATTTCATCCTCATCCCAAATAGCAGCAGAAAGGGAGAGAGGAAGAGAACTTGCCCTCTTTTTAAGTAACTTTCCTGGAGACACAACCAAACTTCCACTTATATCTCATTGGCTAGAACTTGTTCACATGGCCACATCTGAAGCCAAGGAGGCCAGGAAACGGGCAGTGGTCCTGTCACAAAGGCCAAGGGGAGACTGGACGTTGGGGTAGGCAACTAGCTGCTCTGCCACACGGAGTGTGCCCCTGGCTCATTCCAATAACAGCTAGGTATTATCATTATTAATATTAGCTCTGCAGACCTCGGCAAAGACAAGAAAACTGCCTAGGCCTTGTCTGTTGGTGTACCATTTATTCAGTAAACATGCATGGCATCTATATGTCAGCTCTCTTCTAGGGCTGGGAATATAGAAGAGATGTGGGAAGAGGCAGTATCTTGTGATGAAGAGAGTGGGGTCTGAAATACAGAGCCTGGGTTAGAGCCCCATGTTGGCCACTTTCTGTGTGATCCTGAGAAATGGATGTAACTTCTGTGGGCTTTGTTGTCTTTGTCTCTAAGATGAGGAAGATGATAAGAATGCCATCACAGGATTATTCTCAGGGTGAAATGCATTAGTACAAATAAAGGGCTTTGAATACTTCGAGGGAGAAGGCTCTGATTCTTTCAATGGACCCACGCAGCTGCTCCATGGGTCCGTGGAGCAGCTTGCTTTGCTTTTACAAAGCTTTACTTTGCTTTCACCCTGCCCGCCTTAAGTATTCACTGAGCACGTACTTTGCTAGGTACTGGGGATTCACAGATGAAATACATGTAGATCTGTATCCCCTAATCACACAAATGTTTCCTGAGCCTCTGCTATGTGCAAAACTCCATGCACCAGATGACAATACTGAAAGAGACTTGGCAGAGCTGTGGAGGCAGGTGTGGGATATATTAAGGACATACCTTGAGAACTTTTGTTCCAGGCAAGAGGGATCTAAGGGGCTAAGAGAGGTGGGTCTGGTCCCAGCTGTGTTGGTGAGAGGTAGCGTGTGGACATCTGTGTTGCATAATTCTGGACAGGCAGCAAAGCCTGACCTGTGGATGGGGCCTGGGAGAGGAGGACACCCAATTCCAGCACAGAAAAGTAGTACTGTATTTTCCTGGGTCATCAAATGAGCAGTAATCTGGGAACAAAAGATGATTAGCCATGGATGCCTGCCGAGCTGAGCCAGTTGCTTGCACCCCGGAACCCAGCCAGTGCTCTGCTCTCAGGGTCCCAAACTCGCTTCCCTGGACTGTCCTTTGAGACTCTCACACCCACTCTCCAGCCAGCTTTGGAGAACAGTTAAAATAGCAAGTTCTGCCCATCTGTGTCAGTTCCAAGCACTCCTTCAATATATGTTCTATGGTAAGCAACAGAATTCCACTAGGCATGGTTTACAGCCCTCACTAGGAGGACGCTGGAAGGACATTGCAGGAGGAAAAGGCTCCCTACAATATCCTGCATGGGGGAGGGGGGAGGCGTCTGCAGTGGATTCCTACCCTAGCCATAGGCCCAGAACACAATTTCTGTGCGACTCTGCAGCCTCAGTCTAGTGGTAACTTTTCTACAGCCTCGTAAAACCAAAGCCCTCATGTGGCCTGCACACAGTTGACTGTGGCTGGGGTCTCGCATCCCCAGCAGCAGAGCAAGCTCATGTTCAGCCCTGATTGTCTAAAGACTTCTTGCTCCCACTGGTGCCTGGACTCCCACTGCATGTCCATGATGCTGCGTGCCCATGACAGTGGTTGCTGAAGGCCTTGTCTCCTTGACCACACTCTGGAGGGCCTACTGCTCACCCAGCAGCTCCAGGCCAGCTCCAGCCTGACTACACCATCAAACTTCTCCGCTATCCAGTGGCTGAACTACAGCTTTTCCAACAAAGTCCAAACTCCTTCCAAGTTTGCCCTTCCTTGGGCATTTATGAAAATACTACAGCTAACATCATACTAACGGTAGAAGACTGAGTAACTTCCCCCTAACATCAGGAATAAGGATGTCCGCCCTTATCATTCAACATTGTACTAGCGTTTCTAGCCAGTGCCATCAGTCAAGAAATAAAGAAATAAAAGGCATGAGATTAAGAGAAGTAAAACTGTTTTTATTTGCAGATGACATCATCATCTATGTAGAAAATCTAATGAAATCTATAAAAAGCTATTAGAACTAAGTGAATTTGGCAAGGTTGCCAGATTCACGATCCATATACAACAATCAATTGTATTTCCATATGCTAGCAATAAATAATCAGGAATTGAAATGGAAAAAATAATACCCATTTAAAATATCATCAAAAAGTATGAACTACATATGGATAAATCTGGCAAAAGAAATCAAAGATTTGCATGGTCTACAAAATATTGCTGGGAAAATTAAAGAAATTTAAATAAATGAGGAGATATAAGTCGATCCTCACTATTTTGTATTTGCAAATTCACCTACTCACTAAAATTTATTTGTAACCCCAAAATCTAACCACAGGGCTGTAGCAGTCACTCAGAGACATGTACAGGCAGCAAAAATGTGAGTAGCCAGATGCTCACGTTCCCAGCTGAAGTCATACAAGGCAACTCCCTGCCTTCTTGATTCAGGTCTTATAACTGTTGACAAGGATCCTTTCCACAGTCTATTTAGTGCCATGTTTTTCACATGTATGCTTTTCGCTGGTGACTTTAAACTGTCCCTATATATAGTGCCCAAGTGCTGCCTCATGTTCCCACATACAAGGAGGCTGCAGTGTGCCTCATGGAGAAGACACATGTGTTAGGAAAGCTCCGTTCAGGGGTGAATTATGGTGCTGTTGGATGTGAGCTGAATGTGGATGAATCAACAGTGGCTACTATAGGCCAGGCACGGTGACTCACGCCTATAATCCCAGCACTTTGGGAGGCCGAGGTGGGTGGATCACCTGAGGTCAGGAGTTTGAGACCAGCCTGACCAACATGGTGAAACCCCATCTCTACTAATAATACAAAACTTAGCTGGGCATGGTGGTGCACGCCTGTAATCCCAGCTACTCAGGAGGCTGAGGTAGGAGAATCGCTTGAACCTGGGAGGTGGAGGCTGCAGTGAGCTAAGATCATGCCATCGCACTCAAAAAAAAAAAAAAAAGAAAATAGCTATTACATAAGGTGCCTTTAAAGAGAAATGCACACAAAGCAAGGTAATGTATTATCAATGGACAAGAATGTTGGAGCCAGAGGCTCACAGGAACTGCACTCTGTACTTCCCCTGGGATCAATGGTTCAGTATTTGCTAATTCAGTGTTCGTGGACACTTTACAAAACATAACTACCATGAATAACAAGAATTAATCATAGTTTGTTCGTGGGCCGGAAAACTCAAAGTCATTAAGATGGCAATTCTCTCTGAACTCACCTATAGATTCACTGGAATCCCCACCAAAATCTCAGCAGGCTCTTTTTGTAGGAGTCGACAAGCTGATTTTAAAACTCATATAAAAAAGTAAAGGGGCCTAAAATGGTCAAAACAACTCTAAAAAAGAACAGTTAGAGGGCTAACACTATCTGATTTGAAGAAGTATTATGAAGCTACATTAATCAGAACAGCATGGTATTGGCATAAAGATAGGCATATAGATCAACAGACAAGAATAGTGAGTCCAAAATTAGATCCACATGTATTTAGACAACTGATTTTTGACAAAGTTACAAAGGCAGTGCTGTGGAAAAAGGCTAGCGTTTTTAACAAATGGTGCTAGAATAACCAGATAACTATATTTAAAAAAATAAACTCAATATATGCCTCACACTGTATACAAAAGTTAAATCGAAGTGGATCAAAGATTTAAATATAAAATGACAAAACTTCTAGGAGAAAACATACAAGAAAATCCCGATGGCACTGGCAGATATCTCTTAGATGACAGCAAAAGCACAATTTATAAAAGAACAAATGGATAAATTGAACCACATCAAAATTTAAAACTTCTGTATTTCGGCCGGGCGCAGTGGCTCACGCCTGTAATCCCAGCACTTTGAGAGGCTGAGGCAGGCAGATCACGAGGTCAAGAGATCAAGACTATCCTGGACAACATGGTGAAACTCCATCTGTACTAAAAATACAAAAATTAGCTGGTCGTGGTGGCACGTACCTGTACTCCCAGCTACTCAGGAGGCTGAGGCAGGAGAGTCGCTTGAACCCAGGAGGCGGAGGTTGCAGTGAGCCGAGATAGTGCCACTGCACTCCAGCTTGAAGACAGAGCAAGACTCCATCTCAAAAAAAAAAAAAAAAACCTAAAAACTTCTGCATTTCAAGGGACACTGTTAAAAGAATAAACAGACAAAACAGACTGGGAGAAAATCTTTACAAAGCATGTATTTAATAAAGAATTTGTATCAAGAATATAAAGAACTGTCAAAATTGAATAATAATAAAACACCCCCGCAAGCTGGCAAAAGATTTGAATAGACATGTCACCAGAGACCATAAGCATGGCAAACTGCACATAAAAAGATGCTCAACATCATTTGCCATCAAGGAAAATTAAATTGAAAAGTTTTAAATTTAAATTTAATTGTTTTATACTTAAGTTGTAAACATTTTAAATTTAAATTTAAAGATCAAATTAGGCCGGGCACAGTGCCTCACGCCTGTAATCCCAGCACTTTGGGAGGCCGAGATGGGTGGATCACCTGAGGGCAGGAATTGCAGACAAGCCTGGCCAACATGGTAAAACCCCGCCTCTACTAAAAATACAAAAATTAGCTGGGCGTGGTGGCATGCACCTGTAAACCCAGCTACCCAGGAGGCTGAGGCAGGAGAATTGCTGGAACCTGGCAGGCAGAGGTTTCAGTGAGCCGAGATCACACCACTGCACTCTAGCCTGGGTGACAGAGCAAGACTCCGTCTCAAAAAAAAAAAAAAAAAAAAATCAAATTAAATCTCCAATAAGGTGCTACTTGCTACACACCTATGTTGGTAAGTAGGAGGAAGAACTGGAACTCTTATGCCCTGTTGGTAGGATGGAAAATGGTATTACCACTTTTGAAACACTTCAGCAATTTCTTAAAAATTAACCATAAACTCCAGCCATTTCACTTCCAGGTACTTACTCAAAAGAAAAGGAAATCCATGTTCATGCAAAGACTTAGATAAGTACATCTTTATTTATAATAGCCCCAAACTGGAAACAACCCATCTGTCCATCTGCATATCAATGCATGGATAAAAGAATTGTGGTATATCCACACAGCCAAATGCTACTCAAGAACACAAAGGAAAACTAGGCATACATGCAGTAACATGGGTGAGTCTCAAAGTAACAATGCTGAGGGAGAGGAACTAGACACAAAGAGTATGATTTTATTTACATAAAACGCTAAAAAATGCAAACCAATCTATAGTAACTGAAAGCAAGTCAGTGGTTCCTTCAAGATGGTGAAGGGCTGCAGGGGAATATGACAAAGATACCCGAGGAGGGCCGGGGGCAGTGGCTCACGCCTGTAATCCCAGCACTTGGGGAGGCCGAGGCCTGTGGATCCCTTGAGGCCAGGAGTTTGAGACCAGCATGACCAACCAACATGGTGAAACCCCATCTCTACTAAAAATACAAAAATTAGCGGGGCGTGGTGGCAGGCGCCTGTAGTCCCAGCTACTAGGGAGGCTGAGGCATGAAAATCAGTTGAACCCAGGAAGCGGAGGTTGCAGTGAGCTGAGATCGCACCACTGCACTCCAGCCTGGGCAACAGAGTGACAGTCTGTCTCAAAACAAAACAAAAAACCAAAGATACCTGAGGAGAATTAGTTGTGACGGGTGTGTTCACTCCCTGGAATACGGTGACGATTTCATGCGTGTACACATATGTCAAAACTTATTAAGTCGTATATTAAAATATGGGCAATTCATTGTGTGTCAACTATACCTCAATCAAATTGTTTTTAAAAAGTAGGAAGGACATAAGAGTTCACCTGAAGGGGCCCCTACCTGGAGGCCAAACTTGGAACAATTTGAGCGTCAAATAAGAACAGTGATGATAATGGATTTACAACACATCGAACAATAATAATAGTTTTTTAATCTGTGTATGATGATACTACGAAAGCAGGGGAGAGGGAAGGGAGAGGAAAGCTTTACAGAAGAACATAGAAAGGATAATGGGAAAAATCTCTATTTGCAGCTACTAATGCAATAATTGATTCAGGCAAGGCATCAATAGCTGCTAAAATCACTATGTGAAAATTCGTGAGGAAACAGGTACTCACATATCTCAAATATCATAATTCATCACACAGATGAATTACTATGTACAAAAGGAAAGATTAGCTTTATAATGGAGAGATCTTCGGGAACACATTAGTCAAATGATCACACCTTAGCATTACCAATGATGAGACAAACTGGCAGGAGGCCCCTCCTTATATAACACAATGGGAGACACAGCCTCCCCTCTGCAGATCTCGTGCCCAGAATGCTTAGCCAAGTCTAATCACAAGGAAACAATCAGACACACCCAAATTGAGGAACATTCTACAAGACACCTGGGCTGTCTCTTTTACAAATGTCAATGTCATGAAAGGAAAAAAAAGGTGGGGGCGATGGTACAGTGGGGACTATTCATTCCAGATTAGACCCTAAAGGAATGTAACAACCAAAGGAAGTGCCTGATCCTTGATGGAATCCCGTACTGAAAAGAATAAAAGTAAAACTGCTATAAAGGACATTATCGAGACATTTGGGGAACTAGAATATGAGCTGTATGAGGACAGCCTTGTAACAATGTTAAACATTTTGGTTATTCTGGTATTTAGTTAGTATTTTTGTTGTGTGGGAGAATGCCGCTTGTTGTAGTATTCTGCTTGATACACGGATGCATGCCCAAGTTTTTAGGGGTGAAGCTTTATGATATCTCTCTCGCTCTCTCCCACCCTGCCCTACCCCAGCCACATACCTGCCTACCAAGAGAACAGCACAAATGTGGCAAAATGCTAACTAGGGAGGCTTGGCGAAGGGTGTAAGGGTATTCATTGCATGATTCTTTTAATTTCTCTGTAGTACAAAAATATTCAAATTAAAAGCTAGAGGGCAGGCTGGGCGTGGCAGCTCACGCCTGTAATCCCAACACTTTGGGAGTCCGAGGCAGGTGGATCATTTGAGATCTGGAGTTCAAGACCAGCCTGGCCAACATGGTGAAACCCCATCTCTACTATAAAAAAAAAAAAAACAAAAATTAGCCGGGCATGGTGGCAGACATCTATAATCCCAGCTACTCAAGAGGCTGTGGCAGGAGAATCATTTGAACCCAGGAGGCGGAGGCTACAATGAGCTGAGATCGTGCCTCTGCACTCCAGCCTGGGTGACAGAGTGAGACATCATTTAAATAAATAAATAAAAGCTGGAGGGGAAAGGTAGGGGTGGCTGGTCCAGAAGGGTCCTTCCAGCTCCAAGAGTCAGCTACCAGCTCTGACCTTTGATTGCCAGTACCTGGGCCCCTCCTGCCCACCTGGCAGCATCTTCCTTCTCCCAGCAGCCATGGTGCTGTCCATCCTGCCGGACCTGGACCACTGGGAGCAGGAGGTCACCTCCTCCTGCCCATAGCTCAGAATGAAAGCATAGGTGAGTTGCAGAGGAGGGAGCAAATATGGAGAAGTAATAGATGGGCAGGCTGCAGATGGGAGGGAGCATGGCCTCAGGAGGTAGGGGACCCCCAGATCTGTTTGTAGATGAGAGACCCACAGCTGCCACTCTGTGCATGTTGATAGGACCAGACTTGCCCTCAGGTCTGCTGGCTGGAAGCCTGCAGTGGTGTCCATCCCTCCGAGTCCTCACCATGCATACATCCTCTACTCTCCTCTCCCCTCACTCACGCCGTTCCAGCCTCCCCACACCCCCACCCTGCCCTGAGCTGCTGTGTTATGGCAAGGACACACAGGCCTGCCCCAGGGCCCCTGCACTTGTTCACTCTCCTGCACTGCTTCCCCCTGCCCCTGCCCTGATGTCTGCCCAGCCACACCCTCGCCTCTGTCTTCCTTGCTGGCTTTGTTTTTGTTTTTCTCCAGAGGACACATCACCATGTGACATCCCACCTGCGTGTCATGCTTCTTGTCTGTCTCTCCCCCCACATGCCAGGGGCATCATTTTTATCCACTGTGTTCGCTGCCATATCCCCAGCATCTAGTAGGGTGCAGGGTACATGGTAGATGCTCAGTAAAGAGTTTGTGAGTGAATGACTCCAAAGCCAGGTTTCTGCTTTCCCTTGGACAGTGGTGTCTGTGTGTGAATGTGTGTGTGTGTGTGTGTGTGCGCGCGCGTGCACGTGTGTCAGTTGGGCAGGTTGGAGGGTGTCCAGCCAGCTGGGTCATTCCTCTGGGACTCATTTCCTGGGGTGCAGGCAGAGTTCTCAGAGGGCTGTGAGGACGCCACTTGCAGCATCAACACATTACATAATCTGGCACTGGACAGCGGTGAGGGGCAGGCAAAGCCTTTATTCTGTGTTTGCCCAGAGAAACTTCCCCAGGTCATGTCCTAAGCTGCCAGCTCTTCAGCTTTGTGCTCTCTAATTGCCCTGACAGATCCCACCACCCATTCACCCGGCCCACTGGCTCTGAAAGAAGACTGCATGGGTGACGCTCGGAGCTTGGGAGGAGCCCAGGCCCTGGTATGTTCTGGATGCTGTTGCCTGGGGCCTGAGCCCCACCCAGGCAGTGATGACCCTGCGAGGCCGAGCCTCTCCATCCTCCCGTCTGTACACGCGCAGGGCTCCAGGTGCTCCCTCTGGTGCCGCCTCGCTGCCTTCTGAGCTTTCCTGAGCTTGGACTCATGGCCTGAGCTGCCCCTGTGGGCACAACCGGATGCCTCCTCCTACCCACAGAGTGGCTCAGGTAGCTCATCCTCTGTCCACCTGGGACTAGCACTGTCACTGACCTCTCAGAGTTATGGGGACACGGTGCATGTCAGGAGTCCAGCTCCTTCTCAAAGGTCAGTGAGTGACAGCTATTGTTGTAGTCACAGTCCCTGAGGGTCCACAGTGAGCAAGGCCATGCCAGCTCCCGGGGCTTCAGAATCAGCCATCCCTCCAGTCCCTGCTTTGTTGGCACATGGAGCCCGGTACAGGGAGATACATATACATAAACAAACGTATACGTATACATCAGGCAGGGAGAGCTTTGAAGAGAGAAGTCAGGTCATGGGATATGGAGGGCCAGGCCGTCAGGGCAGCTTCCCTGCAGAGGTGACAGCTGAGCAGAGGCCTGACTGGAGTTGGGGTGAGCCAGGCGGTGGCTGGGAGGGGGAGCAGCAGGTTCAGAAGCCCTGAGTGGAGGGTTGGGGGCGTCTAGGCCAGGCTGGCTGCAGCAGAGGAAGCAAGGGGAAGAAGGGAAGTCGGAGGTGTCAGATCAGGGGCTTTGCAGTCCTTTGCATGGTCCCTGGTTTTCCTCCAAGTAGGGAGGGGTACTTTTGAGGGTTTTGAGCAGAGTGGCAGGATCTGGCTTCCATTTTCAAAGGGTCCCTTGGCTTCTATATTAGGAATAAATTGGGATGGAGATGGCTGAAGAAGCAGGCAGATGGGCCAGGAGGAGCCCCATGAACTCGGAAGGGCTGGAGGTTCTTGGGCCAGGCTGTCAGGGTGGAGACGTGAGAAGTGGCCAGAGCCTGGAGAGCTCTGGGAGTGGCCAACAGGTTGGCCATGACAATAGAATCTAGGCAGTCCTACTCCAGAGCCTCACCCTCCACTTGCTGCCCCCTGAGCCCAGACGGGACTGTGGAAAGGTCAAGGCCTAAGGAGCATAAGAAGTGACTGACAAACGTTAGCTCCCTCATCCTGGGGAGGAGGGGAGAATGGAGTGTCAGGAGCACAGCTGTTGACTCTTAACACCTTCTTTGTGTCATGCCCTGATGTACCGGTTACACTTCTAATCTCCACAGCACCCCCTGAAACTGCACACTGTGGTCCTCATTTTAAATAGAGAGGAACTGAGGCTCGATGAGTGGGGAATGACTTGAACCAAGGGCTGCTGGCTCAGTCGAGGCACCAGCATGAGGGTCGTCCTTCCCTTTCTCAGAGACCTCCTTTATAAAGAGGCTGTGGTTGAGGCCAGGGCTCACCTCCACCCCATCAGCATCTCAAACTGTTTTCTCTAGAGTCACATAGCACTTTCCTCTGAGAAGAGGGGCGCCCATCACGGTTTTCCCTACCCTATTGCAGGGCCAGTGACATCTCCACGCCTTTTACCCATCTGTGCCTTCCTGCTTCCCCCAAATGTGCCCATACCTCCACCCACCTGTCCAAGGGTGCCTCAGCTCAATAGGTGAAAGGTGGAGCTAACCTCCTCTCCCATCTGCACCCTCCATCATACTCCTCCTCCTGTCCCCTGGGGACAAGGACGCATATGCTTCTCCCAGCCCTTGGCAGGTACTAGCAACTCACTGCGGGCATCTGCTCTAGGAGCTAGGCACAATGGGTAACCCCATTGTACAGATGAGAAAAGCAAAGCACACGGATGTTAACCCACTTGCCTGAAGTCAGCCAGCAGGTGACTGGCGGAGCTGGGATTTGAACCTAGGCAGTCCTGCTCCAGAGCCTGACCCTTCACTCGCTGCCCACTGAGCCCAGATGGGACTGAGGGGAGGTGGAGGCCCAAGGTGCATAAGAAGTGCTTGACAAATGTTAGCTCCCTCGTCCTGGCCTTCAGACAAAATACTGCAGCCTGGAAAGCCTCACTGTGACACGATTGCATGCTGCTAGGTGTGTTGTTACTGCTCCTATTCTACCGATGAGAAAACCAGTGCTGCTGGAACATCAGCCAATTCCCCACAATGAGGAGGAGGGAACCTGAGCCCGACGCGGAAGCAGCAGACCCAGATGAAGGGAGTCCCTTCAGTGTCTTTCCTATGTGACCATCAAGCACGCGCCAGGGAGGCGTCAACCCGGTCGACTGCAGTCCAGGCGTGGGAGGGAAAGCCAAGTCCGAGGCCTATTTTACACTTTTGAGTTTTCCTCTGGATGAAAAAAGCAGTTCATTAGTGAGATGGCCACTGCGTCCTGCGCCTGAAACGTCGGTAGCAGAGGTAATTGGGGGCCTCTGTCTGGCCTCTCAGTCCTTGAGAATTTTCAGGTAGATTTTAGCCGGGAGCACTGAATTCTACTTACAATGTAAAATGCGTCTGTGAAGTGTTTTCTCTGAAGTGGGAGTAGGTAATTGATTTTTTAAAGAAAGCCACCTTTTGGATTCCGGAAAACACTTTCAGGTCCGTCTCTTATTTTTCAGCACATAAAGGCAATTATCCCAGGTCAGCACTTCCCACAGGAAATGGGACTCTAATTTTGCACAACAAATGTTTCACTGTTGCATTTTCCTTATTGCAAGAGAGATTGTTGTCCCAGCTTGTTTCACATCAGAGTGAGAAAAACCAAGCCCTGCCTTAAACAGTGGCTGAGGTTAGAGATTCCACAGGGTTTCGAAAGCCCTCTGTGTCCAACTCACCATGTGTTGCTGGCAGAGCCGCTTTCCTGCTCCGTGCCTTAGTTTCCCCATTTGTACAGTAGTGATCAGCACAGCACCACCTCTAATAATTCCCAGCAGTGGTACATGGTAAAAATGGTCACGCGATCCCTTTCCTCTCTCTATGCCCTTTGGAAATCTCTTCCTACCCCGACAATGGTCATGGCCACATGACTTGCTTTGGCCAATGGTGACAATAACAAACATAATGCAAGCTGAGGCTTGGAAGCACCGCCGCTCTTTGGAACGCTGAGACCACCATGAATGAGCCTGAGCTAGCCTGTTGGAGGGTGAGAGGCCACATGAGACAGCAGTGAGCCCTCCCGGCTGCGCCAGACAGATGCCTGAGGCCATCCTAGATGAGCTGGTCTAGACCGGAAGATCCATGGAATCGTTAGAAATAATTGCTTATTGTTTTTGTTTGTTTGTTTGAAAGGGAGTCTCACTCTGTTGCCTAGGCTTAAGTACAGTGGTGCCATCTCAGCCCATTGAAACCTCTGCCTCCTGGGTTCAAGAGATTCTCCTGCCTCAGCCTCCCAAGTAGCAGGGATTACAGGCACCCGCCACCACACCCGGCTAATTTTTGTATTTTTAGTAGAGACTAGGTTTCACCATGTTGGCCAGTCTGGTCTTGAACTCCTGACCTCAGGTGATCTGCCCACCTGGGCCTCCCAAAGTGCTAGGATTACAGGCGTGAGCCACCGCACCTGGTCTGCTTATTGTTTTAATCCATTAAACTTAGGGGATGTTTCGTTGCACAATAGGAGCTGACACGTCCCCTCTTGTTCTTGTACCTGTTAGAATCTTTGGTTCTTGGAAGAATGGAGAATTTATTGGGAGATTATTAGGGAACACAGAATTGAGGCAAAGGCTGGAGAGGCAGGCTTGGAATCAGGCAGGAACCAGAAGAGAAGTTACCTGATTGTCAGGACCCCAACTATGGGATTAGCATCTCCACTAATTCTCCCACCCTTCATCATTCCACTCAGACGATAACGTCCCATATGGCGAGATGGTGAGGTCACACATCTCACTTCGGCTGTATGAGTGCAGTGAGAGGCAGGACCTAAGGAAAATGCACTCACAAGGGAGCAAAAAGGCCTGGCACCCCCAGAGCCAGTCGATCTCGGTTCAAATCCCAGTCTGCTACCTGCTAGCAAGTTTCCATTTCTCTGAGCCTTGCTTTTTCCCTGAAAGAGAGCTGGGAGCTGCATCTGTGTCTGGGCGTAAGGTTATGGTAAAGATTCAATGAAATATCTATGTAAAGTGCTTAGAACATTAGTACCTGGCATTCAGAAAACATTCAATAAATGTTAGTGTTATTGTTATTATTTATTATTATTAATTTATTCTGCAGGGGAGGGGAGAACTATAATTTATTTTGGGAGATGTAGCAAATCCCTAAGACTCCACAGGATGTGGAAATCAGGGTACTGTTAGGAAGGGGAGTAGGATACTGGGTGACTAAAGATGACAACTGTCCCCTCTAGCGGTGTTATGAGGCTCCACCTTCATCATTCCTTTCCTGCGCACCTACTGTGTGCCAAGCCTAGTGCAGGCGAGGCAGAGACAGGTGTCAACAAGAGGGACTTGGTCCCTGCTCCCCTGGAGCTTGCCTTCTAGTTGGGGAGAGGCTGGCGATGAATAAGTGAATCAATAAATCACATGGTCATTTCTGAGTGCACCAAGTCCAAGATGCATGAGAAAAAAAGGGACGAGATGCTACTTAGGGAGTGGAATGGGGATGAAAGAAGTCTCATGATGCCGGTTTAAAAGGAGTGATTCAGCATTTAGTAGCTGCTGCACAGTCCCTATCGAGGAGCTGGCAGCACGTAAGTCCTCTGGACGTGTTGTTTCCAATCCCCAAGATGGGGAGCAATGGGAACCCATGGTGGAGAGTGGAGGGGTCAGGGATCCTGGCTCCCAGTTCTTTTTTTTTTTTTTTTTTTTTTTGAGATGGAGTCTCACTCTGTCACTAGGCTGGAGTGCCCTGGCACCATCTCAGCTCACTGCAACCTCCGCCTCCTGGGTTCAAGCAATTCTCCTGTCTCAGCCTCCTGAGTAGCTGGGACTACAGGTGCATGCCACCGTGCCCAGCTAATTTGTGTATTTTTAGTAGAAACGGGGTTTCATCATGTTGGCCAGGATGGTCTCCATCTCCTGACCTCATGATCCACCCGCCTCGGCCTCCCAAAGTGCTGGGATTACAGGCGTGAGCCACCGCGCCCAGCCGGCTCCCAGTTCTTATTGTGCATCTTGGGCAAGTCGCTTCCCCTCTGTGAGCCTGATTTTTCACGTTGATGCAATTAAGGCACCGAATGGATCATCAATTTCCCCAAAACACTTTAGCCTTTCTTTTTTTCCTTGTGAGACCCAAATAAAATAGATGAAGATGAGGAGGGCATACCAGAGTGTCACTTGCGAGATCAGCGTCTCTTTTACCTTCCCTCCGAGGCCCTGAGACACTTCTGCAGACACCTGAGCCTCCAAGGAGTCCCGCCTGGAAATCACAAGGGTACATAAAGGATGCTACAGTCATCTTGGAATAGACAGACCTGGCTGGAATCCTAGCTTTGCCCCTTACTTGCTGCATGACCGTGAGTCAGTCCCTTGACCTCTCTGAGCTGTCTGCATCACCTTGCCAGTGGGGATTGGAATTAGGAGATCAGATCTATGTTCAACAGCCCATGTTGTACCACTGATTTGCTCTGTGTCTTGCTGAGCCCCTCCCCTTCTCTGGGCCCCAAACCTGGTGACAGATTGGGATTTCCAGCCTCTCCTGGATCATCTCTAAAAGGGGCATGGCAGGCCGGGCGCGGTGGCTCACGCCTGTAATCCCAGCACTTTGGGAGGCCGAGGCAGGCAGATCACGAGGTCAGGAGATCAAGACCATCCTGGCTAACACGGTGAAATCCTGTCTCTACGAAAAAATAGAAAAAATTAGCCGGGCGTGGTGGCGGGCGCCTGTAGTCCCAGTTACTTGGGAGGCTGAGGCAGGAGAATGGCATGAACCCGGGAGGCAGAGCTTGCAGTGAGCCGAGATCACGCCACTGCACTCCAGCCTGGGCGATAAAGCGAGACTCCATCTCAAAAAAAATAAAAATAAATAAAAAAATAAAAGGGGCATATGGCAACTTATGGATTTCCCAAACCAGAGCCCAAGGTATGCTTCTCCTCCCACAGGACTCGATCGAGGCAAGGAATCCAGGAGCACTGGCAGCCCCCATAGCCCAGAAATAGCAAGCCAGTTGGTGGGCAGCTGACCTTGGGGCTCGGGGCCTGAGCTGAGGCCTGTTGCTTGGCAACAGCCAGCATCACACACCGTGGGCAGCAAGGGCTCTGGTGGTGACCCACGCCTCCAGCCCAGCCCAGATCTGCCTGGGTGCTGGAGAGGGCCGGCGAGTGTCCTTGGAGGCTTGGAAGAAAAGCTTCCGTCTGCAGGAGCACTTGCATGTGGTCCTGCCGACCTCCAGCTTTCTAGAAGGGCCGGCGACTGTGTAGTTATTATTATCTTTAATCCTGATGAGAACTCCGCAAATAAGGTCATCCTGCCCTCTTTATAGGTCAGGGAACCGAGACAGCCTGGTGAATGTCTTGCCAGGATCAGGTGTTGATTCTGCAGCACAGCCCCTCCACTGTGGCTGGAAGAGGGGTGGAGGGTCTGTAGCTCCTAGGTAGGGTTCAGAATGGGTTCAGTGGGAATTGGAAGGTAAGCAGAAGGTGATTAGAAACAGCGTTTGTGGGCCTGATACCCCCTGAGTCCTCCTCATATGAGGACTGCAAGTCCAGGGGTCCAGGGTGTGACCGCAATGGTGGTGGTGGTCCCAGGGGTGACGTTTTCAAGGCCCCGAGCTCCTTGCAGTGGGATGAGCCTGCATGGCACATGGGCCCTGGCTTGGGGAGGCAGGCCCTTTGGTGAACCGGCTCAGGATCATGGGCCGGGAAGCACTAAGCCTCTGGATACTGACTATCTCTTCAGACACCACCACATCCAACACCACGACAACCCGGCTTGGATCCTTACGGAGTGCTTCAGAGCACTGAACCAAAACCCCTGCACTGTGTATTGCACAAACCTCAGGCTCAAGCCTGCACATCTCTGCTTGCTGTCTGTGGGGGATGCTTCACAAACGAGTTCCCCTTTCTGGGTGTTATGAGAATTTTTCATGAGATATCTATCCTCCTTCTGTTTTTTTTTTTTTAATTATACTTTAAGTTCTAGGGTACATGTGCACAACGTGCAGGTTTGTTACATATGTATACATGCGCCATGTTGGTGTGCTGCACCCATTAACTTGTCATTTACATTAGGTATATATCTCCTAACGCTATCCCTCCCTGCTCCACCCACCCCACAACAGGCCCCGGTGTGTGATGTTCCCCTTCCTGTGACCAAGTGTTCTCATCGTTCAATTCCCACCTGAGTGAGAACATGCGGTGTTTGGTTTTTTGTCCTTGCGATAGTTTGCTGAGAATGATGGTTTCCAGCTTCATCCATGTCCCTACAAAAGACATGAACTCATCCTTTTTTATGGCTGCATAGTATTCCATGGTGTATATGTGCCACATTTTCTTAATCCAGTCTATCATTGATGGACACTTGGGTTGGTTCCAAGTCTTTGCTATTGTGAATAGTGCCGCAGTAAACATACGTGTTCATGTGTCTTTATAGCAGCATGATTCTCCTTCTGTTATTATTTGTATTATTCCACAGTTGAGGCCACTGAGACTCAGAGATGTTAAGTGACTTACTCAAGCTCACACAGCTGGAAAGGGCAGGGCTGAGATTCAAGGTTATTTATTCCAGTTATCTATTGCTGCATAACAAACCCATAACATAATGACTAACACAGGAACACATACTGTGTGCATAAATGTACAGTTTGGGTAGGGCTTGGCAGAGAGCTCATCTCTGCTCCTCTTGGCATTAGCTGGGCATGGAGTTTTCTGAAGGCTCATTCACCATGTGTTGGATGAGTGGTCTCGCTGTCCCCTGCAACCTTAGCTGAGTGCCTCTCCATAGGGTCTGGATTCCTTCCTCACAACATGCTACCTGTCTCCAGAGCCAGCATTCTCCCTCCCATCAAGGATTGAATGAGTCAAGAATAAAGCATTAAGCCAGGGGCAGTGTTTCACACCTGTACTTTGGGAGGCTAAGACAGGAGGATCGCTTGAGCCCGGGAGTTCGAGACCAGCCCAGGCAACATAATGAGACCCTGTCTCTAACAACAGCAACAGCAAAATAGCCACAGTGAGCTATGATTGCAAGGCAAGCAGGCAGGCAGGCAATCAGGCAGACAGGCAGGCAGGAAAGAAGGAAGGAAGGGAGGGAGGGAGGGAGGAAGGGCAGGCAAAGAGCTGTCTGGAACTGAAAAGTCCCCGTATAGGATCCAAGCAGAATGTTCTGTTCCTGAGCCCTGCAGGGCCCTGGTAAGCCTGGAGGTTAGGATGGAACCAGCTGTTTCCAGAACCTCCCTCCAAAAAAGAGGAGGATGGAGAAGGGACTGGCCCTGGAAGTCCTGAACTGGTCAGGTCAGGGAGCCAAACCGTAGAGGTTTCAGGCAGAAATGAGCCTTTCAAATGCCAGACTGCCCCTGATACAGCTGTTCCTCTTAGAAGTCTTGGTTCAGGCCAAGAACCAGGAGCTGCCCTGCTTCCGCCTCTCGCCCCCACTGTCAACAGTGCCACCTCCCAAATGTGCTGCGTCCACACACTTCCTCAGCCCCCATGGTCACACCGCAACTCTGGCCTGGACTGGTGCAGTAGCCTCCTCACTGTCACTGGCCCAATTCTAACACATTCCCACTCAGCAGCCAGAGATCTTTTGAAAGTGTAAATCAAACATCACATCGCATCACTTGGCTGTTCAAACATCTGAGGACTTCTTGTCCTTAGAATTAAATTCGAAGACAAGAAACAAAAACAGCCTGGGCACGGTGGCTCACACCTGTAATCCCAGCACGTTGGGAGGCCGAGGCAGGTGGATCACTGGAGATCAGGAGTTTGAGACCAGCGTGGCCAACATGATGAAACCCCGTCTCTACTAAAAATACAAAAAATTAGCCGGGCGTGATGGTGTGCTCCTGTAATCCCAGCTACTCGGGAGGCAGAGGCAGGAGAATCGCTTGAACCTGGGAGATGGAGGTTGCAGCAAGCCGAGATTGCACCACTGCACTCCAGCCTGGGTGACAGAGTGAGAGTCTGAAAGAGAGAGAGAGAGAGAAGAGAAAGAAGGAAGGAAGGAAGGAGAGAGAGAGAGAAAGAGAAAAGAAAGAAAGGAAGGAAGAAAGAAAGAAAGAGAAAAAGAAAGAAAGAAAGAAAGAAAAAGAAAAAGAAAGAAAGGAGAAAGGAGAAAGGAAAGAAAGAAATTAAAAAGAAAGAAAAGAGAATTAAATTCGAACTCTTCAAACTCAAACTCCTACAAGACAGCACTGCATCTCACCTTGCCCTCCCTGCTCCCTCTGCCTGGAACCATCTCCCACATTTATCTGTGCTTGGCTGGTTTCCTCTTGTCCTTCTGGTCTCAGTATGGAGGTTGCCTCCTTGGAGAGGTGCTCTGACCACGTGGTTCAAATCAGTCCCGACCCCCACCTTAGATCTTTATTATCTGGTGACATCACTTTATTTATTTATTTATTTATTTATTTATTTATTTATTTATTTATTTACTTGCTTTTTTCTTTGCTCCCCTCTACTGAGCTCTGGTCTCTTGAGCTGGTCCCAAGTATCAGAGTCAGGGCTTGGCACAGAGTAGACACACAATAAGCCGAGTGAGAGTCTAATGAACACACACACACCTCCCTTGGAGCGCTCTCACTCGTGTCCACTCAATCATATGCTGAGACCCTCTGCCACACTTGCAAACACAGACACACACTTCTCCACCCCTGGACACGTCCTGCGCGGGAGCTCCGAGATGCGTGAGCGCCTGTAACCAGGGATGCTGCCGCCCCCTCCTGGAAAGATTGGGAAAGTACAGCCAGAGTCTTTCTGGGAAACCACTCCAATGCTAACCTCAGGCTAATCCTAACTCCCCTTCCTTGCAGACAGCTGTCCCTGCCCAGGCAGGGTCTTCAGATCATTTCTGATATTTGGCCTAGGGCCTGGGCTGTATGTTCTTACCAGGTGCGGAGGAAGGAAGGAAGGAAGGGAGGGAGGGGAGGGGAGGGGAGGGGAGGAAACTGACGCAGGTAAGAGCATTCACCTCTTTCCCTCTCCAAGGCTCAGTTTCAGGATCATTGTCACAGGTCTGACACGAATCATGTGCAATAATTTTTTGTACATTCATAGGTTTGGAACACGGTATAAAGGGCCTTGAATGCCAGAATGAAGCCTTGGGTTTTATCCTGCAGTCGTTGGGAGCCACTAAGAGTTTCTGAGCAAGAGAGGGACAGGATCCGAACTGTGCTTTGGAAAGATGAACCAGCCGGTGTGCATTCATGCATTCACTCATTCGTTCATTCATTCATTCATCTGACCAAAATGTGCTTTAAACATCTTTTGCATGCCGGGCCCTGGGAATGCAGCAGTGACCAGAGGTGCTGTTGGACTTCATGGAGCTCATGGCCTCGAGTGACATGTGTGGGAGTGGACATTTGGACACAGAGGAGGCATCACCCCAGTCCTAGGCAAGGTGAGCCCTGGGGCAACATAAGGCTCACATAGGCGCCTTAGCTTCTGCCCTGTATGTAGACAGAGCAGGGTGGGAGTCAACTAAGCCACTGATTTAAGTACAGACCCTGGGACAGGGGCAAGCCTGTTGGTCCTCAGCTCCCATCCTAGGTCATGAGAGGCCAACTTGACCAACGCAGGAGGTGTATCTGTTCATTCCCCTCCCCAATCAAATAGATGCAAATAACATGCAAGAGGTCCGAATTTAAAGTATGTTAGTGTTAAATAAATGTATTATGGTCTGCCTGGCGCAATTATAGTCAAACTCAACATGTAGGATGTGACCCACATGAAATACTGAACCGATTTTAGTATCAGACAGCATACTCACTTTGGAGACGAGAAGAGGCAGAGGCCCAGGGACACACCATATGGAGAGATGCACACACGGGCAGGTGTTCATGAATTTACTGCATTCAGGAGGTGAGAAGAAAAAAGAGACAGATTTCATTTTCAGCTCTGGCTGGAGTTACGGTCCTTCCTTTGAAGGAACATGGATGAGGAGCTAGAAGTCCTAGGTACTAGTCCCCACCACAGCCACTTGGTAGCTGTGTCAATTCTAACTGGCCACTGTATTCTCATCTGTACAATGGGTCCAATGACAGGGAAGCATGAAGGAGACCATGGAGGTGTCTTAGGTTGGGATCTCCAGAAGTTGACCCTGAACCAAGGATTCCTGTGAAAATGACTTACTGTGTGTGAAGTATTTCCAGGAACAGCTAGAGGAAGGGGAAGCAGGCAGGGCCAGCAAGACCATGCCCCACCAGGTCTGTCCTGCAAAGGAGGTGGCATAAGTCATACCTCAGAGTTGGCCCATTTGGGGGGCAAGGGAGCTGGGGTATTCATACTCCTGTGCTCATTGGTAATTAGAGGGAGTAAATTCCCCTCTGGAGGACATACCTTTCCAGGCACTTCCAGCTCTCCATACGTACAGGCAAAGCTGGGTCGAGCAGGCTACGAACTGTCCTCTGAAAGACACAGGTGCTGGCTGCTGGGAGTGAGAGCATCCTGGGAGCTGCTGTACACAGTATGGGACCCAAGGGATGGTCTACTGTAGGACGGGAAGTGCTTTGTAAACTGTGAAGTGTGGTACTGGGATTGAGGAGGGTCCTCATCTGGGACTTCCTGCAGCTCACTGATCCGTCTCAGCCAAGTTGTCTTTCCTCGTGGGTCTATTTCTTCCTGGGCAATTGAAGGCAACAACACACACGGATTGTCATGGGTGGAGGGGTGTGGTGAAATGGTAACTACTCTGGTGGTGAGGCTGTGGAGAGGCGTGCACCTTTATGCACTGCTGGTGGGAGTGTAAATTGGCGTAACGTTCTATGGAAGGCAATGTGGCAATGTCTATCAAATTACAAATTCACAAATCCTTCAACCCAGCAATTGTATTTATAGGATTTTGTCCTACAATAGATACTCACACACATGAAACAACATGACAAGCTTATCCGCTGCAACTCTGTAATTGCAAATAAATTAAAACAATTATTGAATAAATTATATACACTCATGAAATGGAATATCCTACAACAATAATAACAATAAAAAGGAGAATGAGGAAGTGGCCTCTGTATTGTTACTGGATGATCTCCAAGCCCCATAGTTAAGTTACAAAAAAGCAAGATAAAGAACTACATATGATATTTCTTTAACAAATTCTTCTATAGCCAAGTATTGTCTTAGGTGCTTTACAAATATGAATCCACTTAGTCCTCCTGACACTCCTGAGATAAATATTATTATGTCCATTTTACAGATGTGAAAACTGAGGCACACAGGTTAAGTAATTTTTTAAAAAACAGGTGTGCACCACCATGCCTAGCTAATTAAAAAACATATATATATATATTTTGTACATATGGGATCTTGCTATGTTGCCAGAGCAGGTCTTGAACTCCTGGGCTTAAGCCGTCCTCCTGCCTTGGCCTCCCAAAGTGTTGGAATTACAGGCGTGAGCCACCACACCCAGCAGGTTTAGTAATTAGATGAAGGTCAGGAAGCTAGTAAATGGCAAAACTAGGATTTGAAGAGGAAGGGGCTCCAGGAGCTGTGTTTTTTGTTTCAGCTTTATTATTATTATTATTATTTTGAAAGTTTTGGGGGAACAGGTGGTATTTGGTTACATGAAGAAGTTCTTTAGTTGTGATTTCTGAGATTTTGGTGCACCCATCACCCGAGCAGCGTATACTGTACCCAGTGGTTAGTCGTTTGTCCCTCACCCCTCCCACCCTTCCCCGAGTCCCCATAGTCCATTGTATCATTCTTATCCCTTTCTGTCCTCACAGCTTAGCCCCCACTTATCAGTGAGAAGATACAATGTTTGGTTTTCCATTCCTGAGTTGCTTTACTTACAATAATGGTATCCAGCTCCATCCAGGTTGCTGCAAAGGACCTGTGCCTTTGTGTTACTAGGTTGTATTTCCTCTCTGTAGCTGAAGATTACTCCTAACTAATCATAACTCCATTTCCCAGTGATTGGTTTGGCAGTGATTGGTTTGAGGAGGGAACACAGCCCAATTCTGGCCAATGAGATATGAGGGGATGTCTGCTAGGGAACTTCCAGGCAAGATTTTCTCACTGATGAAAAGGGATGTCCGGGGAGTCCATCTCCTCTGCTTCTTGAAGTCATGGTGAAGCTGTGGATGGAGCAGCCACCTAGTGATTGGGAGAGTCCAAGCCTGAAGTCAGAGGCCCACACACTGAGGATGGAGGAATGGGAAGACAGGCATAACCTGGGACCCTATAGTCATTGGGCCACTGAGATAACCAACCCTGGGCGTCTTGATTTGTGTGATGATAGACATCTTTACTGCTTAAGGCAGTGGATCTCAAACTGGAGTGGGCATTAACATCACCTGTTAAAGCACAGGTGGTTGAACTCCACCCCCAGAATTTCTGATTCAGTAGGTAAAGCCAAGAACTGGCCTTTCTAACAAGGTGATGCTGATGCCAGCTGGTCTGGGAACCACACTTGGAAAACCATCAGTATAAAGCATTTTAAGTTAGAGTTTTCGTTCATTAACAAAGGAAGCGGCCAGGCATGGTAGAGCTCACCTGTAATTTACATGCAGCTGCTCTGGAGGCCGAGGCAGAAGGATTGCTTGAGCCCAGGAGTTTGAAGCCAGCTTGGGCAACATAGAGAGACCCCCATCTTTAATTATGTAAAAAGCCAGAGGCATCCTGTGACCTTGAGTGACGTGCCTTTCAAATCCTCTGGAGTAAGGGGTGCCAGGGGTTGGGAGTCAGAGCCCCAGAGCAGGGGCCAGGAGCCCAGGGTTCTCCAACCCTCCTTGTGACCTTGTGCAATTCATTTCTTCTCTGCAGGGTCTGCTCCCATCTGTCATGGGAAGGAGGTCAGATGAGACCACAGCTAACTTTCCTTCTGGCTCCAACACTCTGTGTTCCAGGATTCTCCAGAATGGAACAGTCTGACCTTGGGGATTCTAGCAGGATCAAGTCAGGTCCCCTTCATCATCCCCTCTCTCCCTCTCATGCCCCGGGAGGCTTCCACTCCTGCAGCATCAGGCACTGGGAGGCAGAGTCCAGCTCCACAGTCATTTTTAACATATTAAAGTTCTGGACAGAAAGCTCATTTGAAGCCTGTGTTTGTGCCGGGAGAAGAGAGGCCAGAGCCAAGCCTCTCCCCACGGGGGTTTCATCTCCCCCGGCTTGAGCAGAAATGTGTCGTCACAAGCAAGCATCCAAAAGGCACGGTGCCCACGCCTGCGGGACCACTCCACTCCCTAGGGGTTCTGAATATGAAGTCTAAACAGACTTTGGCAGTTTCTTCCTCTGTATTCAATCAGCCTCCGAGTACTCTCTTTCACCCCCTAAGTGTCATTCAAATCTGCCAGGCTCACTATCTCTTTGCCTCAGATTCTTGGAACAGGCTCAGACAGGTCTCGCTGCCACGGTCTTGCCCCCTGTGCCCTCCTGCCCCACTCTTAACACGTGATATGGCCTTTGGATAAAGTCTAGACTCCTGAGCATGGGAGACCCACAATGCCCTTCAGTGTGGCCCCTGCCACCTTCTCTGGCACCCCATACCCTCTGTGCTCCAACCGAACCAAAGTACTACAGTTTCTGGAACATACTGGGCTCCCTTTCATCTCTGAGCCTCTACACATGCTGTGTCTCCTTCATGGAACACAGAGCTCTGCAGCCTACCTGCCTTCATGCAGCACCCCCGGTCTCAGTGGGGATATCATTCCAGGCAGGACCAGATACATGATTTGTGGGACTTAGTGCAAAATGAAAAAGTTCAAAAATAATTAGGAATTTCAAGATGGCAACAGCAAAGCATTAAACCAAGTTTAGAGGCCGGCTGTGGTGGCGAATGCCTGTAATCCCAGCTACCCAGGAGGCTGAGGCAGGAGAATCGCTTGAACCCAGGAGGCGGAGGTTGCAGTGAGCCGAGATCACGCCACTGCACTCCAGCCTGGGTGACAGAGTGAGACTCCATCTCAAAAAAATAAAAATAAAAATAAAAAAATACACCAAGTTTAGGGCCCTTCCAAGGGCAGGGCCTGACCACACAGGTCACATGCCCACAAAGCCAGCCCTGCTCCAGGCTATCACCCCAGAGTGTCCACTGGGGCCTCCTCTGTGCCCCCACAGCCCTCTGTGTGTCATTATCTCAGTACTGATGGCCTGCAGTGGGTTTGTCTATTTTTCTCCTCCCACTAGACGATGAGTACCAGGGGGTAGGACTCCCTTCTGTCTTGTTCCAGGTATGTCCTGGATGCCTGGCATAGAGCTGGCAAAGTAGGCACTTCAGAACTATTTGTTGAATTGCCATTCAGTGTGTAAACAATCTGTTCAACAAATGTTTTTCCAGAGCCTCTGATGTGCCAGGCACAATCCTAGGTACTTGGACTACATCAGTGGACCAGAGTCCCTCGCTCCTAAGCGTGTACATTCCAGCAGGGAAGACACACAGTGCACGCTTTGCAGTGGGTTCTCTCAGAAGCAGGCCCTGAGTTAGGATTTGAGCATAAGTAGATTGTTTGAGAGAGACAGGAAGCACCTGGTTCTCAGGCCTTCAGACTCAGATTGGAACTAACCACGCCACCAGTTTTCCTGGGCCTCCTCCAGCTTGCAAACAGCAGATAGCGGGACTTGTCCGCCTCCATAATCACGTGAGCCAATCCCTCGTAATAAATCATTTTCTATCTATGTCTATGTGTAGATATCCCTTTGCTTCTGTTTCTCTGGAGAACATTGATGACTACACGGCTGGCGACTCACCTGCGGAGCGAGGGGAATGGTGGTATCTATCCAGCACCTTTTGTTCTTTAGTGGCCAAGGGCTGCTCCCAGGGCCCTCAGCTCCTGGGCACTTCTGGGCTGGCCCGTGCAGGCTGAGCAGCTCCTGCAGCTGGAGGAAGTCCTCAGGCAGAGTCAGTGGTGCTGCCGTGAGCAGCTATGAGCGGAGAGAAGGGTGGAAGGGCCCTGAGGGATGCAGGAGTGCCAGAAATACACTAAAAATGAAGTGGGTCCTAGTGAGAGCTGTAAGTGGAGCACAGTGAAGGGGGCTGGGTGTGCATGTGGAGAGAGGTCTCAGAATGCACTTGACCTGGAACTGACCTCTCAGACCTCAGTCCACCCACAGGTCTTGGCAGCAGCCGGTGCCCCCGACACTCAGTCCCTAACCTACCTGCACTCCTGCCCCACCTCAGCCCTTGGTCTCATGCCATGGTATTTTCCTTTTAGCCTTTAATTCTAGCCATAAATTACAATTTCACAGACACCAATGGCATGAGAGATGAGGACCCAGATTGCCAGAGACTTTTAATTTGCTGTCAACAGTCCCTCCACTGGCCCTGCCAATCTAGGAGAGCTCCATCTACCCCTCCCTCGGGCCTGATGACCTGGAGCAGCCTCCTACTGTCCCGATGTGGAGGAGGGTGCTAACCGCGGTGATGTCAGCGGAGCCTCAGCTTCCACAGAGGGTACGCATGCCTGGGACACAGAGACCGGCTGCCCCAGTGAAATCACATTTGTCTTGATTTTGCCTTGATCTGCAGCCCTCGCATAAAAACAGGATTCTGAGGTTCAGCACAGCTGATGCACAAGGCCGGGTTCTAATTTGCTTCTGTGAGGACTGAGTCGCCCACTTTGAGCCGGAACAGCCCCCCTCCCACTGCCCCACACAATCACTTGCAAAAGGAGAATGATGCACGCTCACCTGGACAGTACGTAGCACACATACCTGATTGTTTCCTAAGTCTTTTCACATCTATGATCTTGTTTGCCCCCCAAACCAGCCTACGGCTTTAGTGGAAGAAGTGTTGATATTCCTGTCTCAGAAATCAGGAAACAGACATTCAGGCCATTAAGACAAGGTTGCCCAGCTAGTAAGTGTTGGGTAAGTCTAGAACCCAAATTTCCTAAGCCTTTATTCAATGCCTTCTCCATGACACCAAGCTGTGTCTGCCTTCCACGAGCCCTCTAGTAGGGATAAGATCTTGGAGAAGCAGTTTTTAAATATTTTTTAATTGAAATATAACATAGATCATAAACATACAGCTCTATGAATTTCACAGAATGAACATACCCATATATCCAGCATCCAACATCCAGGCCAAGAAACAGACCATGTCCTCCAGAAGCTTGGCCACCACCCATCACTATTCATGGGCAAGTACTTTTACTTCCAGTTTTGCCTTTTAGCCACATCTTTATCCCCAGGGTATAACCCTTCAAGAATTTCCATTCTTGGTGGGGGAAGAGCAAAACCGTTTCTGAGTGGACATAGTTTAATGATCAAAGCTCTAGGCTGCGAGTCAGGAGGCTGAGTTCTCTTGTGACTTGGCTCCAAACTCACTGTGTGACTCTGGGCATGTCATCTGTCTTCCCTGGACCTCAGTTTCCCCATCAAAAAAACCTCAGTGATTTCCTCCGGCCTCTCTGCTTAGAACTGGAGCTGGAACCCCTCTTTGTGGGCCTGAAGTTTTAGTTTCCTATGGGACCCCAGCTTTCTGCAGCAGCTGACGGCCTAAGCACAGTCCATACTGACCCCTAGTAACTGGCCTGTATGGTCTCTGTGGGGCTGGGCGCAGCATATGCTTGTCCCCTTTGGAAGTTGCTAATAGAAGTCCCTAATGGGTGTGTGTTCTGTTTAGGATGAGAACGGCTAATGCCTTTTTGGAATGGACCAGTCCCCCATAATTGCCAATACCTGTAAACTTTTCCTGAGTGCTTACTGTATCCTAGGAACTCTGCTAAGGGCTCTACGTACATATCTCGTTTCATCTCCCAACACTCTGATGAATAGATATTATTCTTATCTCTTGTGTATAAGCTAGGGACCCCTTTGCAAGTAAAAGAGTGCCTTCTTTAAAACAGGACATTTAACTGTATAATCATATAATGAAGTCTGAAGGAGGCCTGTTCTACGTTGTTGCAACAGCTCAAGAAAGGTGTCATCTCTGGCCAGACTTTTTCTGTTTTTCTACTAACCATCCTTGTCTGTTGTGCTAGATTGCAAATGGCCCCATCAAAACATAGAGTCTATTTCTCCACCTTCTGAACCCAGGCTGGCTATGTGACTGTCTTTGATCAGTAGAATGCAATGGAAGTGAGAGTGTAAATGTTCTAAGCCTGGGCCTCCACTCTTGTCCTCTTGAGGTGTTGCTGCCGTGTGAACAAGCCTGGGTCAACCTCCACCTCACGGAGGGAGACTCAGCCATTCCATTGGACACCCCAGACATAAAAAGAATCCCAGGCAATACCATGTGGAGCAGAGATAAGTCATCCCAACTGAATCCAGCCCAAATTTCTGACCCACAGAATCCTAAGCAATAAATGTTATTTTAAGCGACTACATTTCAGAATATTTTGTTTGCAAAAGCTAGCTGATACAGCTGTGTTGGCTTTTTGTCCTCAGGTTTGTTGTCTGTCTCATGGTTGCAAAATAGCTGCTGTCATTTCATAAAACCAAAGTCAAAGAAGGAAGAAGGGGATGGATTAAAAAGGAAGTGTTTTCTTGCAATGCTCCTCAATTTTATCAGGAATAATTTTTTTTTTTTGAGACTGAGTCTTGCTCTGTCACCCAAGCTGGAGTGCAGTGGTGCCAATTCAGCTCACTGCAGCCTCTGCCTCCTGGGGTTCAAGTGATTCTCCTGCTTCAGTCTCCAGAGTAGCTGGGACTACGGGCATGCACCACTTCACCCAGCTAATTTTTGTATTTTTTAAGTAGAGACGGGGTTTCACTATGTTGGCCAGGCTGGTCTCAAACTCCTGACCTCAAGTGATCCACTGGTCTCGGCCTCCCAAAGTGCTGGGGTTACAGGCCTGAGCCACCAGGCCCAGCCGAAATGAAATTCTTAATAGCCTGCATGCTCCCAGATAACTCACTGGAGCTTGGTTTTAAGCTCACTAGGCTGTCATATTTAAGCAATGTGACCCCATTCCTCCCTCCATAGCTGATTAGATCCTTGATCCTGGCTGAACCAATCTCTTTCCTGGGAATATTGATTTGGGACAAAGAGCTTAGTTTGGGTTGGTCTCTTGAATGCAGGAACTATTATATAAAAGCATTGCAGCTCTTGGTGGTTGCGGCAGAGACGCAGAGAAAGCCAGTTTGCATTGAAGGAAGGGTACAGCAGAATGAAGTGAGTGACAGTCTCTTGCAGGACTTCTGGGTCCCAGGTCTGGGCTCTACCTTTGTCCTTGGAGCATCAGGAAAAACAGCTGTGTCACTGTATACTTTCTTCCCTTAAGCTAAAGTTGGGTGGGGGTTGGGGGGCAAGGTCTCTGTTATTTGCAACAAAAAATCCTAACTCTTGTAATGGGATTCTCTAAGACTCAGGGTTGAAACTCAAAGGCAAATGGGCTCAAAGTCAGGCAGGTCCGGGTGCAGGGGGGACCTTCTCACACCTACCCCAGGATTTCTGAGAAATCTGGTGAGATGATGGGCATAGAAGCCTTGTGTGAGATTTTATATGAACTCATACTCATTTATACATGCTCACTGCACATAAAAAGAAGATGAAACTCTCCACCTCAGGATGTATATACATAAAGAAGGTCATGGTGAAGGAGAGGGTGTGATAAGACTTATGATTGGCTGAGCTTTGTCTCAGGTATCAAAGTCCCAAGACTTTATGATTGGCTGTTACTCATTTGCTTTCTTTTCTTTGGCTGAAGGAGCACAGGGTGGTGATAGTGGAGAGGATGGAGCAGAATGAGAGACATTGGAAGGGACTCAGTGTGGAACAGAAACACCACTTGGGAAAGCAGGTGCCCAAAGCTGGAACTGACATTGAAGGCATCAGCCATCTTCCTACCCAACCCTGGAAACTCAAGGATACCTTGAGGAAATCTTTAACAGCCGAGTGTTCTAGCCAATCATATTTAGATCTCAAGAGGCAAGGAGGCCCCAGCTCACACAGGGGTTGGATGAGAACATAGAAGATTGCAACTCGAAGCACTAATCCCTGAGTACAGCTGCAGCAGCATCTGAAGAAGGCTGAGGTAGACATACCCAGGAAGAGACATGAATCACAATTGCTCAAAGCTAGCTAAGGGTGGCCTTTTGACCCACTTCTGGCTAACGAAACGTAAGGAAAAGTCTGCCACGTTGGATGTAGGGTGAGGGTGGGGGTTCTCGAAGTGTTTTTTTCCCCCTTCTGTCTTGAACACAGGCACGATGGTTGGTGTGGTGGCAGCCATCTCTTTACCATGAGTGAAAGGTCAAGAGAATCAGAGTCATGTCTCCTAACATAGTTGAGCTGCTGAACCAAAACTAGCAGCCATCTGCCTCTGGCCTCTTATATTGGAAAAACGAACCTCTATTGGTTTAGAACCAATACAGTTAGCTTTTCTGTTTCTTGCATTGAACACATTTCTAACAGGTATAGAGGTGGATGAAGGAAAATGCTCCCAAAGGACTTGGTTTTACTCATGTTTGAGAATTAAAGACAAATTCACAGGACAATTTAATCAGATGCCTGGAATCACAGGCTGAGCTCTAGCCCCGGTAGAGAATAGAAAAGAACTGCCAAGTCTCATTACCGAAGGCACAAAACAGCCCTCCAGTGAAGCATCAAAGTTAATAGTGTATCTCAATCTCATCCACTGGCAAATCCAAGGCAGAAAAATGACTCCAGTGATGGATGCCACCACATCAGCTGTTAGCTTGCTATGGTTTTAGTCCCTTAATCACCAACAGCTTCAGGATCCCACTGGAGAGATGGGTGATCAAGCACGAGGTGAGACAGCTGAGAAGGGGTGCAATGCCTCTAGTTTGCAGGAACCAGAGTAGGCATTCATGGGCAAGAAGAATCCACCAAGAGCAGGTAACTACTGTCCCTATCTTATATGTATAAGAAAACAGACAAGATGAGAGTTTTAGGAGCTTTGTTTGTGTTTAAATTGATTATTCATCAAACACTTATTAAGTACCTGCTGTATACCAGGTCCTATGCTGGGTGTCAGGGAGATGCCCTGAGTTCAGTGAGGACAGTAAACTGTGAAAGCAAATAACTACAACATCAACCAAAGGGATCCTGGGAGTCTTGTCAGAGGAAGAAAATGCACTGGTGTCTTGGGGAGGGAAATAACTTGGACTCTGCGTTGCTGGTGGATGGGAAGAAGTGACTCAGTTCAGCTCCTCAATTACTTTTGGGACATGCATGATGTGAGCATACAAAACTAAAAGGAGAAAGAGGGAAAGAATGGGCTTAGCCATGAGGACAGGGACTCTGCTCCCGATTGGTCCCTAGCACCTATAACATGCTAAATGAACACACTGATTAGGCATGTACAGTACTGCAGAGGCACTATGCTGGGTACCTTAGGTATATGGGTGGAGGAGTTATTGCCATTTTTCGGAAGAGAACTGCGACCCAGAGAGGAGAAGTATTGATCAAGCCCTCACAGCGAGTGAGTGCTAAGTCAGGATTTGAACTAGTTTATGTCTAAATCCAAATCCAGGCTCAATCCGTTGCACTCTGCTGGATCCTTCTACTAGTCAGGACATGTTCAGAAAATTCAACTAAAATGGAATTAAACAGGAAAGGAGATTTATAGGACCATGTAACCAAAGAGCCTAGGTGTAGGTTCAGGTAAAGGTTGATGACATCAAATGGTGTCACCAGGGGCCCATTTCCTTTGGCTCTCACAGCATTGTATTGCTTCTTCCTCTGGCTCTACATTTGCACCATCATAAAATAGGCCTTGGTTCTCCTGGGCAGATGATGGTTCTCCTGTTCTAGACCTCGTATCGTCTACAGTATTGACTAAGGGAAGAGAAAAGGCATGCGTTGGTAGGCTTTATAGGGGGAAAAAAAACTTCACCTTTCCAGAAATCCTGGCATTTTCTTATATCTCATTGGCTCCAGTGAGTCATGGGCCCATCCCTGAAACATCAGTTTACGACTCCTGAGGATGACTTTTATACATGGATAAAACTATTTTTGATTACTTTAGATTTAATATTAAATGTATTAAGGTTAGAAATTATTAGTTCTAAGAAAATTCTAGTTCTTAAACTTTTAAATCCAGCTTATAAATCTTACTTTTTAACCTCTAGATCTAGTAAACTTTAATAACCAAGTTTAAGGAAGCCTTTGCAATTAACTTAAACATTTTTAACTGTATTAATAAATTTAATATAATTGGTTTTCTTTTTAGGTACTTTAATTATCTGACTAATAACCTGTTATTTATTTATTTATTTATTTATTTATTTATTTATTTATTTATTTTGAGATGGAGTCTCGCTTTGTCATCCAGGCTGGAATGCAGTGGCGCGATCTCAGCTCACTGCATCCTCTGCCTCCCGGGTTCAGTCCTGAGTAGCTGGGATTACAGGTACGTGCCACCACGCCCAGCTAATTTTTGTATTTTTTAGTAGAGATGGGGTTTCGCCTTGATTGGCCAGGCTGGTCTTGAACTCCTGACCTCAGGTGATCCACCCACCTTGGCCTCCCAGAGTGCTGGGATTACAGGCATGAGCCACCAGGCCCAGCCCAAAACCTTTTAGATATTTAAATAACGCTTGTAATATATTGACCCTTAAGCCTTCTTAAATGTACCAAATCAGTTTACACACTTAACAAAATTGCTTATACTTTTTAATGTAAAATCATAAATCTAAACCAATTACTCAATTACACATTTCAATTAAAATAATGAATTAATCTCTTAGATACTCCAATATGCCCCAAAATCTTAAATATTACAAGTACTAAAAAAATACTAGACATGAACAAATTATTTCTGAACCAAACATAAAAAATTCAAGTTGTGGATATGATTTATTCATTGTTTCTGTGAACAATACTAAAACATTTTGGAATTAGACTCTTCCCCACTTCAAAAACATTTACAGCATCCTTGGCAAGACAGTGTCCTTGTCACAGAGCAAAGCATACAGATAGACTTGTGAAAGATTGGGCTGTACCCAAAACATGATTCAGGGCTAAGCTGCTGTTGAGACATGCTGAAACGTACTTAGAGTTGCCACAACAGGGACCCCATAAATTCTACAGAGGTTGTAGCAAAGTAGTACTGAGGGGTAAGAGGCAATGCTTCAGTCACATAAGCTATTGTAGCCCATCATAAGGACTTTAGCCCTGAGTAAGAAGGGAAATCTTTGAGGATTTTGAGTAGAGAAGTGATATTCTCCTGATATTAAGGTTGGACATAAGGCCCAATTCTTACCAATGAGTTGTGAGAGGAATTGTGCCTGAAGGTTTCTGAGAAAGGTTTTTTCAATCTTAAAAAGAAATATGAGAAAGCAATCTCCTAACACACACTGTTTTATTTTACTCTAGATATTGTCTCATGAAGATATGATACCTGGAGCCATGGCAGTAGTTTTATGACTATGAGGAAGTTAGATGAAAACAATCTGACACTAAATACAACAAAGATGAAACTTTTAAAGAACAGCTTTATTGACATATAATTCACATACCATATGATAGACCTACTTCGATGGTTTTAAGTGTATTCACAAAGTTGTGCGACCATTACTCCAGACAATTTTAGAATATTTTCATCACTACGGAAATAATTTACCATTAACAGTAGCTTGCCACTTCCTCTCAACTTCCCCAACCCTAGGCAGCCATTAAATTGCTTTCTGTCTGCATAGATTTGCCTATTTTGAACATTTTGTATAATGGAATCATATGACATGTGGCCTTTTCTTGCTGGCTTCTTTCGCTTAGCATAATATTTTCAAGTTCATCCATGTTGAAGCTTATATCAGTATTTCATTCCTTTTTATTGCTAAATAAGATTCCATTGTATGGGTATATCACATTTTATTTATCCATTAATCACTTGATGGACTTTCAGGTTGTTCCCACTTATTTAGGATTCCAGGTTTATCTCTTAAATTGTTTTCTAAATTTCATTTTTAGATTGTTTGTTGCTGGCATATAGAAATACAATTGATTTTTGTATATTTACCTTGTATCCTGCATAGTTGCTGACTTGTTCATTTATTATAATAGTTTTGAGTGATTTTTAAAGGTTTTCTCTATACAAAATTATGTCATGTTTAGTAAAAATAGTTTTACTTCTTCCTCTCCAAGTTAAATGTCTGTATTTATTTTTCTTGCCTGTTTTTTCTGGTTATAACCTCCAGAATAGAAGTGGCAAATATCCTGCGTTAGTTTGCTAAGGATAAAACAAACACAAAAAACAACAAAAAAAGAAGTGGCAAATAGAAGTGTTGAGAATGGACATCTTTTTCTTGTTCTTGATCTTAAGGGGAAAGTATTCAGTTTTTCATCATTATGAATGATGGTAAATGTGGGTTTTTGATAGAGGCCCTTTATCAAGTTGAGAAAATTCTTTTGTGTTTCTAGCTTGTTGATGTTTTAAAATCATAGAAGTGTTGTATTTTCCCAAATGCTTTTCTGCCTCTGTTGAAATGACCATGTTGTTTTTCTCCTTTGTTCTATTAATATTGTATATTACATGAATTGATTTTTGGATGTTAAACCAGCCTTGCATTCCTGGGATAAATCCCACTTGGTTGTGGTTTATAATACTTTCTATATGTTGCTAGACTTGATTTACAGGAATTTTGTTGAAGATTATTGCATCTATATTTATGAGAGATATTGATCTGTAACT